>NW_017852930.1:300000-468267 GCF_000001405.40 Homo sapiens
TCTTACATTACAAATCTGTTGTGTGGGGAACGGGGGAGGAATAACTGTATTACAGGGAAAAAATAATAGAACAAATTGTTGTAAGAACATGTAGTTTTTTAACGTCTTTATTCTTTACAAGTAATCTTATTCTTTAAAGTATTTTTTATATAAATGGACTCATCTATATTTAAAACACCTAATGCCCTTTGTGTTTCTTAGTATAAGGATGATCCTGAAGAAGCCACTGCTACTTAACTCACATTATAGTTTTTTAAACCCATAGTATCATAAGAAAAATGAAGAAGAGATTCTTTTGTATTTTTTCTTCCCCAACATAAACCATAACACCAATGCAAACCACTATCAAGGAGAGGAAAGGAGAGCTGCTGGTTAGGACAGCAGCTGTGTTGAAGCTCAGAAAAGACATGGGTTGGCAGATTTGTGAGGTGATGCCTGCAACACAATGTGCCTAGATCTAGTCTGATTCCTAAAATTAAAAAGAAAAAAAAAATCTGTACTTAATATTTTGCCTTTTAGAGAGTATTTCCTTCCCCATCGCAGAAGATTTTTGCTTGAGATGTTCTAATATGTCTTAATATGTTGTCATTGGAGGAAAAAAAGCTGTTAATTTATGAAATAAAGAAAATGTTGCCAAGATTGACTCAGAAATGAGTATGTAAAACACCTTATACCTAAGTACTTTATTACAGTTTAAAGACCATTATTTTTTCCATTTGCAATTTAAACTCAACTAAAAGTACATAATAAGATAAGCTGTCGTGGTGGATGGCATGAATACAAAATTTAAAGCAGCAGGAATAAAGTGAGAACAGAGCATGTTAACAGAGTATAGCTGGAAGAGTCAGGGAAGATAATACATAGGAGTGCAAACTAGAACAACGTGTGAATGAATGTGGAAGGGGAATCCACAAAGTGGGTTTAGGCTTAAACGAAAGGACATGCATCTATCTTCCCTCAACACAAGAATGAAAGATAGACAAATAATTGAAGGTCTAGATACACTTTTAGATGAGATGCACAGGAAGCAAAAAGTTGATAAAATTTATTTGTTTTTGCAATAAAGTAAAAAGTAAGGTCTCCTGGTAAAAATGAAAGGGGAAGGTTATGTGAACAAAGTGGTGGTGGTCTCAGCCCTCAAGCTGAAAATGTTTTTACATTTTTAAAAGGTCAAAAAAGAAAACAAAGAATATGTGACACAGACTATATACAGCCCACAAAGCCTAAAATATTTATTATCTGGCCTTTTGTAGAAAAAGTTTGCTAACTGATGGTATATGTAATAACACCTGTGAGAGAGAGAGACAGAGAAATGACTAGAGATCATAGGGCATAAATTTGCATAGTTTATGATTTTTTTCTCCAGCACATCTTTTCCTCCAACAACAAAAAAATTATGGAAGCATTTATGAAAGAAAACTGTCCAGAGCAGATCTGTTGTTTGTTTGTTTTTGAGACAGAGTCTCACTCCATCCACCTAGGCTGGAGTGCACTGGTGCTATCTCTGCTCACTGCAACCTCTGCCTCCCGCGTTCAAGCGATTCTTGTGCCTCAGCCTCCCAAGCAGCTGGGACTACAGACACGCACCACCACACCTGGCTAATTTTTTTTTTTATTTTTTAGTAGAGACAGGGTTTCCCCATGTTGGCCAGGCTGGTCTCGAACTCCTGACCTCAAGTGATCTGCCCGCCTCGGCCTCCCAAAGTGCTGAGATTACAGGCATGAGCCACTGTGCCTGGCCCAGAGCAGATATTTTAAACATCAAGAATCAGATCTGCATGATTCAGAATATTGCTAACCTATCGGTTCTAACATAAGAAACAAGGAGTAAAAAGTAAAACAACCACCAAAGATTTTCAATAACTTTAAGACATAACTTTAAGATACCAGTAAAAGAAATGCCTCAAGGTAGTTCATAATTGCTAAAAGAAGTGCCATGACAATTAAGTTGTAAAAACAGATTTAAAACTTCTACTTCCAACCTAACAGAATAATTGGTATAGGATTTACCCTAGCAACTAGAAAATGGGGCAGAATTTATGAAACTACTCTTTTCAGATATTAGACAGCAGGCAATGCAGGACTGTGATCCCTAAAATATAGCTTTCAGCTAAATATACTTTAGCTTTCGGCTAAATATACTTTCCCCTATAATGTAAGGGGAAAACCTCAGTAAACACAACGAACTCAATTAGTTGAAGGGACAAATTTGAGTTAAGGAAGGGCTGAGAAAGCTGGAATTCTCAGGTCAGAATAACAGAAAAAAGGTAAGCTAAGCAGAGAAACAGTACCAGAAAATTCTATATAGGGACTCTTGAATCTTCAAAGAAATATTAAGTTATAAATGTACACAGTGAGACTCAAAAAGGCCAGGCAAAGAACCACTACCAGAAAATCTGCAAAACTGATCAACTCTCAAACTCACAGGATACTGCAAAATATTCTAGCTTGGAATGCTAAAAAGGGAGATACCATTAAATAACAGGAGCATTCAATATGGCTCTATGAAGGAGTATGCCTTAACAGTAGGGCTAAACTAGCCTTAGAATAAATGTTCCTCTGAAGCTGCCCTAATATAGCTTAAAAACAAGTGTGAAAGGATCAAGTTGATCCACAAGTAACTTAACTGCCTGATAGAACAAAGTACAACATTCACTAATGGATAACAAAATCCATTCATAGTATTCCAACAACATGACCAGCACCCAATAACAAATTATTAGAAATACTAGAATGCAAAAAAGATGACAAAATTACATGACAAAGATATTAAAATATCTATTAAAAGTATATTCACAGATTTAAAGAAACACATGAATAGAGAGAAATTGTAACTATAGAAATTAATCAAATAAAACTTTCCAGAGCTGAAAAACACAATATTTGAACTGAAAAGTTCCTTAGAGGGGCTTAACAACAAATCAGACACTATAAAAGATTAAAAAGAGTGATGAAACAGGAACCAGAGCAACCAAAACTACCCAAACAAATTAAAGCTATGAGGAGAAAAAAAAAAAAAAAAGCATCAATGACATGGGGAAAAATACCAAGTCTAAAATATGAGTTTTTGTTTGTTTCTTTGTTTTTTTGAGACAGAGTCTCACTCTGTCGCCCAGGCTGGAGTGCAAGTGGCGCAATCTCAGCTCACTGCAAGCGCCGCCTCCCAGGTTCATGCCATTCTCCTGCCTCAGCCTCCCAAGTAGCTGGGACTACAGGTGCCCGCCACCATGCCCGGCTAATTTTTTGTATTTTTCAGTAGAGACAGGGTTTCACCATGTTAGCCAGGATGGTCTCGATCTCCTGAAGTCGTGATCCCCCCCGCCTCAGCCTCCCAAAGTGCTGGGATTACAGGCGTGAGCCACTGCGCCCGGCCTAAAATAGGAGTTTTTGAAGTCTAAGAAAGAGAATAATGTTCTAAGGAAAAAAAGTATTTGAAGAAACAATGAAATAATTTTTTCAAATTTGATGAAAAAACAAAAACAACAAATAACAATAGCAGCAACAACCACAACAAAAACACTGATCCATGAATATCAGTGAACCCCAAGCAAGGAAGGAGAGTACACACAAAAAATTACACCACGGTACATCACAATGAAAATTATAAAAACAATGAAATAATGAGGAACTCTTAAAAGAAGCTAGAGGAAAGAAGATACATCACAGAACTGAGGAACAAAGATAAGAATGATCACAGACTTCTCATCAGAAACCAAGCATGCCATAAAACAACAAAACATTTTTTGAATGATGGAAGAATAAAGTGTGTGTATAGAGCTATTATTGAGTGAAAGTCAAAAATGAAGACAAAAAGAACATATTTTGACAAGAAAAACAGAAAGAATTTGTTGCAAACAACCCTGCACTACAAAAGCTGTCACAGTAAGTTCTTTAGGCTGATGGAAAATATACCAGAAGGTATCCCTGATGTACAAAAAGAAATGAACAATGCCATTGTAAATATGCGGATAAACATAAACTTCTTAAAAAACTGAAAGATAACTGGCTATTTAAAACAAAAATAGTGACACTGTACTATGAAGTAAAAAACAGCAGAAAAGATGGAAGGGGCCAAAAGAAATTATATTGTATTAATAGTAAGGTTCTAACATTATACATGATGTGCTATTACTTCAAACTAGACTGTGTGAGTTAAGCATGTATATCAAAAAACCTAAAACAACCATTAAAACAAGAAAACTAAAAAATATAGCTAAGCCAGGTGCAGTGGCTCACATGTGTAATCCCAACACATTGGGAGGCCAACACAGAAGGATCACATGAGGCCAGGAGTTGAAGACCCCAGCCTTAGGCAACATAGCAAGATTCCATCTCTACAAAAATACACAAAAATTAGCCAGGTGTGGTGGTAAGTGCTTGTAGTTTCAGCTACTCAGGAGGCTGAGGCAGGAAGATCACTTGAGCCCGAGAAGTCAAAGTTGCAGTGAGCCAAGATCATTCCACTGCATTCCAGCCTAGGCAACAGAGTGAGAATTCATGTATTTCATGTACATTATATGTATATATAACAAATATATGTACATATGTTATATATACATATATTATATGTACATATATACACACACATTTATATTATTATATATATACAGCCAATAAGTCAGCAGAGAAGGTAAAATGGAAATGTAAAAATTACTCAATCCAAAAAAGGGTAGGAAACAGAAAAAATGAACAAGGAATACATGGAACAAACAGAACAAATGAGAGGCAGAAGATGTAACCCTAACCATATGAAAATTAGATTAAATGCAAATACTCTGCACTCTAATTAAAAGACAAAAATCAAATTGGATTTAAAAAGCAAAAACAAACCATTACTATCAACAGAAAATACACCTCAAAAATAAACAAGTTAAGTTAAAAGTGAAGGTTAAAAAATAGTCTATATATATGATGCAAACTATATAGAATGAACCTGGAATAGCTTTACTGACAGGAGAAAAGGATTATCATTGAGCACAAAGACATGTATTTCATAGCAATCCTAAATGTGCATGCACCCGATAAAAACACATGAAACAAAAACCAGATGAAGTCAAAAAACTAAAACTGACAAATCTGCAATTATAGGCAAGGATTTCACAACTCTTTTTTTCAGTAAAAAAAAAAATTATCTTTATTTTAAATGTTAATAGAACAGGGCCAGGTGTGGTGGCTCACGACTGTAATTCCAGCACTTTGAGAGGCCAGGGCAGGAGGATCCTTGAGACCAGCAGTTTAAGACCAGCCTGGGCAACCTAAGGAGACCCCATATCTACTGGGAAAAATAAAAAAAGCCAGGTACGGTGGTACACACCTGTGGTCCCAGCTACCTGGGAGGCTGAGGAAGGAGGATTGCCTGAGTCCAGGAGGTTGAGGCTGCAGTGAGCTGTGATAGCACCACTGTACTCCTGCCTGGGTGATGCAGCAAGATTCTGGCTCAGGGAAAAAAAAAAAAAAGTTAATAGAACAGTAAAAACATTATCGGTAAGGCTAGAGAAGATTGTACAATACTATCATTAACTTGACCTGTTTGACATTTATAGAACACTACTCCTAACAATGAGAGAAAGCACATTATTTTCAAGAGTACACAGCACAATCACCAAGATAGATTATATACTGAGCCATTAAACTAACCTAAACAAATTTAAAAGAACAGAAATCATACAAATCATGTTCTCTGACCATAATGAAATTAAATTAGAAACCGATAACAAAAAATTTTGAAAAATCACCAAGTATTTAAAAACTAGAAAAATACACTTGGCCGAGCACGGTGGCTCATGCCTGTAATCCCAACACTTTTGGAGGCTGAGGTTGGAGGATTGCTTGAGTCCAGGAGTTCAAGACCAGCCCAGGCAACACGGTGAGACCCTGTCTCTACAAAAAATACAAAAATTAGCTGGGCCTGGTGGCACATGTCTGTAGTGCCACCTACTTGGAAGGGTGAGGTGGGAGAATCTCTTGAGCCCAGGAGGTCGAGGCTACAGTGAGCAGTAATCGTACCACCCTGGGTGAGAGAGCAAAACTCTGCCTCAAAAAGAAAAAAAAAACAACATACTTTGAAATAACCCAAGTAACAGCAAAGAGATACTTCAGGAAAATTAGAAAGCATACTGAACTAAGCGATATAAAATAAAACATCCAAAGTTGTGGAATGTTGGTAAAACAATACTGAACCACGTATAAAAAAAAATTTAAATTGATGAAAGAAACTTTTACCAAAGTAGAGAAGAAAGGAAATACTAAAGAGTAGAAATCAATAAAACAGAAAAAGAACATAACAACATTGTTCATTAAGAACAAAGAAATCAAAAGGTAATTATTTCTGAAGATTGAGAAAATTGGTAAACTTGTAGGCAAACTCAAAAAGAAAAAAAGATGATAGAAATTGTCAAATATCAGTAATAAAAGGGAAGATATCTGCACAGATCCTACAGATAATTAAAATACAATGAGGAAATATTAAAAACAAGTTGATGTTAATAAATTTAGCAACTTTTAAATGTAAACTGATTATTCAAAAGATATATATTAAAACACAGAAGAAATAGAAAATATGAATCTATTATCTATTAAATTATTTGAATTTATAATTTAAAACTTTGAACAACATAAAACTTCTTGGCTCAAATGTCTTCTCTAGTGAATTTTATTAAACATTTAAGAAAGGACTAACTCTGATCTTACAAAAACATTTTCAAAATTGGAGAAAAAGAACATCTTTCAACTCACTGGAGTCCAGCATTGTCCTGATTCCAAAACCAGATCAAAATATTAAAATAAAAGAAAATGACAGACCAATAGGCCTTATGACTACATAGGCAAAAGATTTTTTAAAAATAATTGTTGATACAACCATGCAATATCTAAAAAGGTAGTACTATCAAAATAGGTTTATGTCAAAAATGCAAGGTTGGCTTAACATTAAAAAAACAAATCCATGTAATTTATCATGTTACTAGATTAAATGAGAAAAACCATATGAACCCTCATTAAATGGAAAAAATCTTAAATAATGTAATATGCATTCCTGATAAAAATTCTCAACAAAGAAGGAAACTTTATCAACCTGAAAAATGATATCCATAAAAACCGTATACCTAGCATCAAACCTAATAATGAAAGATTGAATACTTTCCCCCTGAAGACATGGAAAAAAGCAGTTATGTCTGCTCTCACCATTTCTACTCAATATTACTTGTGGTCTTGGCTACGGCAATAAGGCAAGACCAAAACAGATTTAAGATTGAAAAGGATGACATAAACCTTTGTTTATTCAAATATAATTCTGTAAGAAGGAAATCGTAAGGAATCAAGAAAAGAATAAATAAATGAGTTTGGCAAAATCATATGGTTTAAGTTCAATATTCAAAATTCAACAGTATTTCTTTATATAAACAAATCAAAATTTTAAAATATTGTTTGTAATAGTATCAAAAATGTTATGAGTCTAGCACTACCCAACTTGACAAAATATGTGTGAGACCTCTACACTGAAAATTACAAAATATTACCAAGAGAAATTAAAGCAACCTAAATAAGTGGAGAAATATACCATGTTTAAAGATCGGAGGACTCAATACAAAGGTGTGAATGTTCCCTAACAGATAGACAGGTTCATTGTGATATCAATTAAAATCCCAGCTTCCATATGAGATGCACAAAGCTGGACAGAACATAGCTCACACTGTAACTACAAAAAAGAACAAGGGAAAAACAAATGATCTACAAATAGAAACTTCTTGAACTCATCAGAGTGCTGCAGTTACTGGGAAACTAACCAATCCAAATTCTAATGAAAGGCAGGACACATGGGACGTGAGCACTTGAGTACCTGGGGAAGACAATACTAGACACCAGTAAGAATAATTCAGTCAAAACCGTTAATGAATTGCTAAAGGCTAAGTGTGTGTTCACAAGAAAATATAGAAGCCAGAGGATCTACAGACACAAAGGGAATTCATACCCATTCATGGACTTTTGCAAAGATCTCACCAGATGTTCACAGGCATACACAAAAAGACTGAGTGTATGGTGAAAGGCCTGACAAAGCATTTCTCATGGTGCAGGCTTGAGGGAAGCATGAAGCCACTGAGGGAAAGCATGAAGTCCAGGCTGGATCCTTTCTACCATCTTTAATATGGGGGGTAAGGGGTCAGAGGGGAGCCTTAAACCCCAGAGGGAAAGGCAACAACCCCAATATGCTTTGAGCACTGTTGAAAACACATTAGAACTAGGAGAAGAAAAATGCCTAAAAAAAAAAAAAAAAAAAAACTTTAGCCATGAAGGAGGAAAAGGAATTCATCCTACAAGTGGAAGCAGGGGTGGGACACTGATTGAAGTCCCTATTCCCAAAAACCAGGACACAATGATTGCCCAGACTATTATAGTGGATTTATTACCATATCTGATACAATAACGAATCCAGGTAGAAATGATGGCAATCTGGGAGGTACAGGTTTGAGTAAGCCAGACTGTCTGACTGGCAACTATAATTTGTTTTCACAATTTGCAGTCCCAAAGAAAAGTTGTTTTAAATCTGTTAGTCTTCTAACAGCAGACCTGAAGGTTAGGCTATTGGCAACAGGCCAGGAGCCAGTAAAAATATAAAAAGGTTAATCAAGGGGCATATTGGTCAAAGCTATAAGAATGGAGTGATGGAACACACTCTCACTTTTCTGTAGCTGGCACTGACCCTGAACAACTGCATCAGCTTTTAATTGGGCTGAACTGTAAGTGAAACAGGCCCAGGTATTTATAAGAAATTCCTTAAATCCAGGGCCGTAATGAGTCAATTGCTTTGCTTCAGGTGGCAAAGTGAGAAATAAGCTTTTCCCCAAAAGGGGTAGGTTCTACTTCATGGAACGCCAAAATGATACTAAGGCCAGGTCAGCTGCATCCCTTTTCAAAGCTGTATCTGCCTTTTCAAAAGAGATGCACTTGGTAGCTGGGTCAGGCAGGTGGCACTGCTGTACTGGGAAATGGTTGAGTTCTCCAGCAGTCATGGAGCCTTTAACCAAAGTTGTGATTTTCTTTTCTTCCCTCCTGGGATGATACATTATTTTTGCTGAATCACCCAGGGAGGGGAAAGGGGACAGGGGAACACCTCTTTACATGCAGCAGCCCATGAATAGGAGAATCTCCTCTAAATCTGTAAGTATTCATAGTGTAAGAACATAAAATTATCAATACTAATTATACATTTAGCAGAGGAACCCAAAACAATAGTACACTGAATAGGCCCAGAGGCTCCATCTACATTTTAGCTTTTTAAAATTTGAGTGTTTTACCCCCTGTAGGAACACAGACCAAGTAATTTAACATATGCACAAAAGGGACTACAGCCATAGCTGCCAGGAGACTACATTATTTCCTAACCAGGAGCATGGGGAAGACAAGGTAGCGGGGAAAATCTATTCTGCAGAGGACTGTGGTGGTGGGAAGGCTTTTCTTCTGCTTTGGTTTCTCACTCCAGGGTGACGCTGTGCTCCTGGAAGTGCTTGGGCCTAGGGGTCTCTAATTTGCCCCTGTGCATGCTGCTAGAACTCCACCCTGCAGTCCTCAGTGCCTTCAGCCTACCTTGACACCTACTGTGCTTTTTTCCCACAGGACCACGTAGGATGGCGAATTGAGCATCTCTATTCAACAGAGCTAAAAAAAAGTCTGAATTTCTCTCCCTCCCTAAGGTTCCCTACCATATTTGGCTTTTATCTTAAGCAGCTGAGGTTAGAATAGAGGGGGTAGAGAAAAATGGGAGTCCACAAAGTAAAAGAGCAGCTATGTACCAGTCAGCAAGACTGCATTTACATTCAATTTCAAGTGGCTGCCCACTCAGACTCCACAAATGAACTTATAATATACTTAGTCTACCCAAAGCTCCACATCCTCATTGCTGACATCTTTTATGTTAGCTCTCAGAAGCCCTTCATTCAGCAGCTACAGCCATACTGCCTTTTGCCTTAGGGCCCTGAGGCTTGCTGTTTTGTTGATATAATAATAATTTTTCCTCCTCCAGCCTAGAGAGTGAGCAATAACCAAGGCACTATTTGAGAAGCTTCATTCATTTCCACCCCTCACTGCTTAGCCTCAAAAAATTCATTAACAGGCAGGTCGTTAGGAGACTCTTACTCTGTACTACTACCCCACCACTTAAACAAGAGCATTCGCTACTGGTCTCATATCCTCTAAACCAGCCCATAAGAGCCCTGTCATTTCTCTTTCAGGAAACCTTATCTCTGTCAACATCATATGCTTGTAGCCAAAAATGTCAAAAATTGTTTAGGGTCTGGGATTCTACCCTATTTATAAGCTGTGAAGCTAGCCTGTTACTGTTTCATGGATGCTAACATAAGATGTAAGATGCCTGGGTCCGAACCAAAGAACTGTATTACCCATGATGCAGCAAGCAGTATGAGCATGATATCAGTGAAAATTCACCTTGCCCTCCAAGTCCCTGGCAAAGGGACTGTGGATGCTCTGTATACTACGGGTTTTTTCACAGCTGAAGAGCACTGAGCTTGGGAAAGTTGCCATTTTTATAACAAAGAAAAGCAAGTCTGCTTGTATTCTATTTGTCTAGGGTGTCATTACTTCATTCCTCAAGGTTGCTAGCTACAACCCCTTCCTGAGAAATGGATGGAGTAAAGGGTAGTTCTGTTAGGGCTTTGCATTCTCAGCATATCCGGCAAGAATGTTCAGGGATATTCAGGGCTTATGGGGATTGTTTCTCCCAACACACTCCCATTCAACCTAATACCAGAGGTCCTAGGCAGTACAAGAAGGCAAGAATATAAGTAAGTCTCACATGTTTCAGGAAAAAGTAAACTATCTCTATTTGCAGACAATTGTCTATATAGAAAATACCATGGAATTCACACAAAAAACTCCCAAGACTAATATATGAATTTAGTAAAGTTGCAGGATATGAGTTCAATATGATCCTAATTACATATACTAACAATAAACAATTGGATTTTTTTAAAAAATTAGGTGCTACTTCAACAGTACTGAAGAAATAATTAAATACAAATCTAACAAAATATGTGCAGGATCTGTAGGCCAAGAACTACAAAATATTGACGAAATAAATGTAAAATGCCCTAAAAATAGTAGAGATACTATGTTCATAAGTTAGAAGACTCAATACTGTTAAGATGTCATTTCTTTCCAAACTGATCTACAGATTCTCTGCAATACCAATCAAAATAACAGCAGGACTTTTTATAGATATTGCACCCCTAAACAGAGATCAGAAGGTAGGAGTAACTGAAGAAACACTGCTGAATATACCTGGCAGAAAGACACCAGTGATTACAGTCTTTAAGAATTATTAATTAAACTCTTAAAATGCATTCATTTTCCCAAATGGATGACTCAAGTAGTATAGTGGATGTTACTGAGTTTATAGTAGAACTACAGCCTATAGTAAAACTCTGCCATTCTCAGGCTCTTCATATAAAGAATGGCAGCCTTCTTACAAAAATGTTATGTATCTAACTAGTATCAATAACAGAGCACTAGATTGTAGACAGTCAGCTATGTCCCCCAGCACAGCATAAGAGTCATAACAGCACAAAACAGGGGACTTGACACAGCTTTGTTAAATATGTAATCTAGTTGATCAATGGACTTGGCCTCAGGACACAAAATTAATTTGATTCTGCATAACTTAAGAGTAAGAGAATTATGCAAAGAAAAAAAGGAAGCAAGAGAAAAGAGAAATCAATGGGGTGATGGAGCACAAACATGGCTATTTGTGTAGTTCCTTGATGAAAATATAAGAGAAAAACATCAATAAAATCCATAATATTTAGGAAGGCAAAGAGGGATAGTAAGCAGTCAAAACAGTAAACCAGAAAACTGGACATGAAGGTAATAATTTGGACAAAGCCCCAAAGTAGACATGCCAACCGTTGTGCAACAGAGGGAGGATAAATTGTAATAATAGTCACAGGATCCAAAGTGTAGGTATGGATGGAAAAATGGCAAGAAATGCCATGTATTTACTTTTATAATGTATGTGATACTGGCAAATGACTTACAAACACAGTGTGAAAAATAAAAATGAAAAAAACGTAAATGCCCAATTTAGGTGAAGTAGGGAAGGATGGGAAAGAATGGCTTTGGATTTTCTATCTGTTAAGTGTATGCAATTCTGATGCATGTGCTTTATCAAATATAATCAGTATTCAGTTATTCTCATATAGAAAATGAATCACCAATGTTGTTGATTCTCTACGACTTCTGCTACTCCCCACTTGATGGAAGTTCAGCAGATGGTCCATTTCTATTTTTCTGATAAAGTATTTGTTGTGAAAGAAATGTAAAGTTGAGAAGCCAAATAAAATCTCTGAATTGGCATTAAAGCAAAATAAACCTTTTTTCTATGGGCTCCAGTATCAGAGAGAGTTCAAGGTTTACTACGCTAAGTATCCACTGAAAAAGGACCCTTGTCGCAATACAGCTTAAAACTGATTTTCAGCAATTAAAAATTGTTTGTACATAGATACCTTAAAATTGTTTCAAAGTACTTTCAGTTATGGTGAATTCCAATATTTCACAAAGCTGAGTTTTTATTTACAAACTCAGAGAATCTTCAAAACTGTGGCATCAGAACTAGCCACAAGCTGGGTAAGAATGATTTGATATGAATAGTACAATGTAAATATACAATAAATTACTCTGTCATAGTCACGGTTGTCAAAATTTAAGAAAACAAATACATAAAATTAGTTAGAGACTTCCCATAGGAGGAATTAAAACAGATATGCAATTAAAATATTTATAACTAAAAAGAAAAGCACGACTTTTAAAAAAGGATTTTAATTGAGCTGTATTTTGGGGTTAGAATCATATCTAGTGCTTAGTTATTATTAGGAAGTCAAACTGCTCTCCTAGGTTAGTATATAAAGGTTATATTAATTGCACAAAATATATTAAATGCACAAGTGTGAGTGTTACTACGGAAACAAGGATCTTCATAAATTGATAATCTGAAATTATTATTATTTTTTTTTTGAGACCTAGTCTCACCTTGTTGCCCAGGCTGGAGGGGTAGCGGTGCAATCGCAGCTCACTGCAATCTCTGCCACCCAGGTTCAAGCGATTCTCATTCCTCAACCTCGCGAGGAGCTGGACTAGAGGCTTGTGCCACCATGCCTAATTTTTGTATTTTTTGTAGAGACAGGGTTTCACCATGTTGGCCAGACTGGTCTCGAACTCCTGACCTCAAGTGATCCACCCGCCTCAGCCTCCCAAAGTGCTGGGATTACAGGTGAGAGCCACTGCACCCGGTCTGTAATTAATTTTTTTCATGAAAATAATATAATCTGATTCTCAATCAGTAGTTGAGATATTTGCATATTTGTTAAAAACAGGGGAAGTTGGAATTACCTTGTTAAGATTTCGGCATACCTTGTTAATCACCAATTTGTGGTTTTTAAAAAGGAAATAAAATTATACTAAGCACTGTACACAATAAAAAAAGTTTGTGATATCTTATTTATCCTTGGAGACAAGTTACTCATACAGAAAATAAAGAGCACTGTCTGTGCTCGAGCTACCATTATGGCTCAGAAACCCCAGATTTTGTTTTTTTGAAATAATCTGAATATAACTTGAAAACACTGTCTCACAAAGAGTTAAACAAAGCACAAAAATATACTTCAACAAAAGGAATCAAAGTTGACCCAAAGGATGTTTGACTTGCCAAAAGTTATATAGGTAATAAATAGCAACTAAATCTAGATTATCCAATTCTAAGTCCCAAGACCTTCATAATTTTCCAAAGAGAGAAGGCCAACCGCCTAGTACAGCGTGGTTTGCAGTTTTAACATTGACTCTGCTGCTAACTTACCTTGACCCTTTCAAGTCAGTAAATTTCTCTGTACCTTTGTTTCTTCTACTTCATGGGGATATTCTGATGATAAACATAAGCAAATACTTGAACTCTGGCAGAAAAGCACTCTGCTGTGTTAATAATCTCCTCATCCCCATCACATATTTCCACTGATGCTATGCTTTCTCTGGTCTTAGTTTTAAGCTTAAATGAATGTGTGTGCTGTGGTGTGTGTGTGTGTGTGTGTGTTTCGGTGTGTGTAAGTTTTCTTTATAAATGGCTGGCATTCTAGCAAGATCCTTTTCCCCAACTTTCAAAATGCATGAATAGCAGCACAACATTTTCATTTTTAGAATTACCAAAGCCTTGCCACCCAAAGCTGTGCAGAAGATTTTAGAAATTCACAACAAAATTTTCCACCATATTACTCTCAACTTCTATAGAAATGCAACTCACAACTCATATTGGTCAGCTATTCCCCTATAAAGATTCAACACTACCAGTGGAAGATTATAAAAATGCATACGGCTTTTCAAATAATAAGAGAATAGTTCCAATTGCAAATAAAAACCAGTATACATTTTGAAAAATGAAGGTCACTAAATATTCCTAAAATAATGGAAACAGGTGATAATTAACATTCTAACAGTTTAGCCACATGTAATGTCCTCTATTTTGTCAACAGAGTCCAGCTGTTTTATCTACTTAAGTCTAAAAGAAATTTATCCTCATCATTAAAAACAGGAACTTATTTATAGGTAACTAAAATTAACAGAAATTTAATTTTAAATATTTTAATTTTATTTTTAATATTAAATTTAATTTAAATTTAATTTAATTTAAAATTTTTAATTTAAATATTTAAATATTTAATTTTAAATATTCAGTACTTGTACCATTATTTTCATTTTGAAAATGTATCTATCTTATAATGATTTGGCTTTATAACTTATAAAGACATGTAACTTACTTTATCCTTTAAAATAATATTTTACTAACAATATTAGCGTGTAGCTACATATCATATTTAAGAAACAGCAATCTACTAAGAAATGTGCCCAGGTCAAAAATAGAATAAGCCAATTGAAATAAAATATTATAGCAAATGATCAGTATACATCTACCAAATAAAAGGGTTATGAAAGGTGAAGACCAAGTAGTAATCTCCAAAAGTAATACAATGATTACTGATTGAAGTTTTATACCCGAGACTAAGCTACTATAATGAAATGTTTAAAAAATATTTTAGGGTATTATCACCTTAGGTCAATCTGATTATTATTTTGAATGAATGAATGAATGAAATGAATGAATACCCAAATGAATGAATACTGAAGTCATGACAATGTTTAACACCTTGAGATGCTCACAACAATTTGGAATACCCAGAGAAGATGACTTGAATACAAACAAACTATTTAAAATTCACTGTGGCTCACAGTAAAGATGCAGTGGGTTTCTATTTGTAGAACAAAGAATCTCAATCAAAAACCTATATATGACTAAAATATTCTCAAATGCAATTATCAAGGCTTTAGAAAGCATATATACTTTTTACTATGTAATTCTTTCCTGTTCCCCCACCTCCCTGCATTTTTTTTTAATGTTTGGCATAAGTGACCAACAAACCAGAATAGAATACACATTTTTAAAATACTAATTTACACATATTCTATTTAAGAACAACATACAACCACTCATAAATTTAGCCTTTTTAAAAGTGTCCTTTATATAAAACAGTGGGGAGCGGGGGAAATCCCTGCTATACATATGAAGCACAGTTTAAGCCCAATACAACTGACCAATCAAAATTAGTGAATACACTGCATCTCTCTGCAGTGGAGAGAAGCGACAAGGTAGGCTGTCATTCTGCAAAAGCTGCCCGAACAGGCTTTCCTCTGAAAAGCAGTGCCGTTCCTTTTTAGAAAGACTGAATCTAAATGTTGTCTCTGGAGACAAGAAGCCTTCAGTATGTTAAATTACTTTCATTATGTATTTTCAGATGCTTATTGATTCCACAGTAGGAAGAGTGAGAGACTGCAGCAGCCTCTAAGCAGCACTACATGTTCCATACATTAGCAGTACTGCTGAAACAATGGCACACTACAGACACATATTTTCATTAAGGTCATTTTCGAAGAGATGTTTATGACCCTCTTCCCCCAGTCCTCTACTAACAAGTGAACAAAATGAATCAATCCAAACTGGAAATGCTTCAACTACATCAAGAATTTATCAAATCTTTAGCAGAGGTAAGATTTGTTCCTATTATAGTATACAGCTGCTTTTGAACCGGCATAGTGGGGTAAAAATTACTTTGAAAAATTTCAGCCTAAATTTTAAGAGTTTGTTTAATTCTACTTATTGCTAGACATGTATTTTAAGATCTATTTCTTTTAAGACATGCTACATTTTAAATGTAATTTTTTAGGATGCATTGTTAAATACAAATATTCTTTGTAAATTCATTATGAAGACAGCTTTTGAGTCACTTCAGATATACTAAATATTCTTAATGTAATCAGTACAGTTTTTCTCCAGTGTTTCAAAAATGCTTCTGTTTCTTAAAAGAACTAGGTTTACTATTTTGCTGTTACTTATTACTTAATTTTATGTTAAGTTTATTATTTGGCATGTTCACTGAAAATTAATTTGCAGTTACAATTTTTATTACCTTTTGTATTTCAACCACATGAACAATTCATCAATGGAAATTTATAGTATCTTATGAAATCTGTTTTAATGAGTTAAAATTCAAACCATGTGCTAATAATTAGGCAAGTTACAATATTTTTAGAGCAAAAAATGTTGTTAAATTTATTACAAAGAAGAAATAACAGTATGTTTAGTGTATGCTAATTGTTCATCATCTCTGAAAATACAGGTTAGCTTCTAAAATGAGAGCAGAAATTAGTTTTAAAAAATATAGCTTTTCTCTCACAATTGTATTTGAAATGTGAACTCTATTGTTAAATAACATAATATATACAATCTTTATTAGGAAAAAAGACTTATTTAAAGAAACAATTTTATGCATATAGCTGTGGCTCTAATAATAACAGTTTGGTTATTTTGATAACAAATACTGGATAGTTTTTAAACAAAACTAAAGTAACTTGCAATTAATTACAAATTATTAAAAACCCTATTTCTTAACCAATTTTCTTCTTTTCACAAGGGCCAATAGCAGCTAATTCAGTATTTACAACTGACAATATGAAGAATGCAATTGACTGAGCATCTCCCTAGCTGTCTGAACTACGAACTGCAAGATGTTCTTGTAACACGACTTTAAGACATTAAGGAGTTAAAACCAGGGAATAGGTCTACATTACTGATGGAATATAAAAAATCAACTGTATCCTAAGAAGATGCTACATAAAATAACCACAAAAAGAAAAACAATATAACTGTAAAAGCCTGAAAAGAATTTTTAAAAGGGGAAGTTTATACTTTCATATACCAGAATTGTGGAAGTTACTGATTCTGGAAGACATAATGAAACATGAATTTCCAAAAAGAAAAGAAAATACTTTATCAGCACACAAAAGGAAGATTTAGGAAGTGTTTTCTGCACTAAATATTCAGATATTCATATCAATTGGTATGACTAATGGATTTTTCTATCTGACTTTTATGACCAATTATGTATCCTCTTCTAATGAAAACAAACAAAATTAAACAGCAGATGGTTTTTATCAAAAGGACATGGCCTGGATTTATAATATAAAGCAAGTTATGTGATCAAGAAATCATTTCAAAATAGTGAGCACTGCTATTAAAAACAGATTTACAATGGTAACAAAAGGATGTCTAAATATATTTTAGAAGCTACAAACGTTATGTTTCCTTTTTTGTTTTCACATATTCTGGAAAATAAAGAAATATTATCATGTACTCCATCAAAGGGAAACATAATTCCTATCATCTGAGGAAATTCCTCTTGGCCGTGACTTTTTAAAGCAAAACAAATACAAATATTATGTACTGTTCTTTAGAAATCCATCAGCCAACTAAATCTCATAATGCATGCAGTTGAAGTATTGGAGAGAAAACGAAAGAATTCCTACAAGACATGAAATAAAACACAGCTACTTCACTGTTGTCAGGTAAAAATTCATGTCAAAATCTGTCAATGATATCATGTATCAATTTGCCAAAAACTGTCATAGTGAACCAAAAGGCCCATAAGGCAACAGCAAACAGGTAGGTCAGAAGATGCATGCACCCCACCACACTGTTTAACATTTACGAAAGAACAGAATCTTGCTCTAGAGAAAATGTATTTTTCTTAATCATCATTTAACTTGACATTTCTGCTTTATTTAATTATAAATCTAACTGATGTGACAAAGACCTGATGTTTAATCTGTCAGTTCAGAAAATTTGGCACACTTAAAATTTTCCATTTTTATAGGATTTCAATGTTAGCTAAGACCTTAACTTACTCGAATAAATATACCTCTAGTAATACTTCATACTAATTCAAAAGAAATAATGTTACCATTTGTGTTTCTGCAATATTATTCCCAAAAAAGTTCATAAATAAAACTGTATTCTAAAACTTGTCAAATATAACATCAAGTGAAAGTTAACATGAATTTTGAAAATTATTAGCTTTTATAATTTATGTTGAATATGATTTTGCAGTTGAAATGCTGTATTTGAAATGTGAAATATAGTTGGTTGTATGAGTTCATATTTTAAAATGAATATACTGATTAACTGACATTTTAGCCCAGAACATTAGACATTATTTTTTACAAATTATTCTAAACCCCTATATATTAAAATATAGATTTGCATGAATTAGCAAAAGCGTTTGTATTTTTTTTTAATTTTTCTTCAAAATTAGACAATGGGTGATATATACAAAAGGCTTCACAGGTAATGTGTAACTTTAAAAGCTTCCTCAAAAAACGGGCTTCACATACTCCTTTTCCCTAAAATTTCATCTTTTACTTTAAAAACTCAGTTTAAACAATGTCAACTGATATATTCCTTTAAACTACTTCAAAAATGGCTATTTCTTAATGTGATATTAAATTTCAATTTTCTGTTTCCACAAGATACAAGAGGGTGTGGTCACAAAATAAATCATTTCATAGGAGTGATTAATGCTCTTTTACCAAGCTTTGTAGCTTTTTATTTTAGCATAATGTCCCACTTGTTCTAATTTTTAAGTTTGCCAACTGCAAAGTTCAGTGAGCATTGTAACTGTGATATGTAAAATATTAATCACTGGCCTATTTCTGTGGGAAATAACCCCAAATATCACCAAGCACATTGTTGACTTCTGAATATGAATTCAATCAACATGGATAAAGCATCTTAAACTAGTGCTCTGTACCATTTGTCATTTTAAATGAACACTTGTCCTGTTCATTTGAAATCTCACAGGAATAATTACACCTACACTCATTATGCTAGAGCATATTAAAATAGCATTCATTTGGTACCTACTCACAACATTTAAATGAAATTTTAAGACACTGGGCTGAAATTAATTTTGTATGCTAGGAAGTTTTATCATACAAAAATACACTTTATCTCAAATAATAAGCTTGAAATACTCAAATGAGAAAAGCCCTTTAGCATATTAACTTTGCACTACAGAGGAACAATTTCCATAGTTATTTCTTCAAAAGGAAAACACAATTTTCTTTTATATCAAAACAATGCAAACTTGATGGTTCTTAATTCTACATTTTCTATTAATAGTTTACAAACTTAAAAATTAAACTAAGTACACAATTGAAAGATTTTTTTTTCTTACAAAGAACACGTTATACGTCATTTAAATTGCCAAATATCAAATAGTTTATTCTATTTCACTTTCTAGGGAAAAAAACCAACTGCTCCAAAAGAATGTGTTTTTCTCCCATTCTGGAAATCAACATGCAGTCTGAATCTAACATTACAGTGCGAGATGACATTGATGACATCAACACCAATATGTACCAACCACTATCATATCCGTTAAGCTTTCAAGTGTCTCTCACCGGATTTCTTATGTTAGAAATTGTGTTGGGACTTGGCAGCAACCTCACTGTATTGGTACTTTACTGCATGAAATCCAACTTAATCAACTCTGTCAGTAACATTATTACAATGAATCTTCATGTACTTGATGTAATAATTTGTGTGGGATGTATTCCTCTAACTATAGTTATCCTTCTGCTTTCACTGGAGAGTAACACTGCTCTCATTTGCTGTTTCCATGAGGCTTGTGTATCTTTTGCAAGTGTCTCAACAGCAATCAACGTTTTTGCTATCACTTTGGACAGATATGACATCTCTGTAAAACCTGCAAACCGAATTCTGACAATGGGCAGAGCTGTAATGTTAATGATATCCATTTGGATTTTTTCTTTTTTCTCTTTCCTGATTCCTTTTATTGAGGTAAATTTTTTCAGTCTTCAAAGTGGAAATACCTGGGAAAACAAGACACTTTTATGTGTCAGTACAAATGAATACTACACTGAACTGGGAATGTATTATCACCTGTTAGTACAGATCCCAATATTCTTTTTCACTGTTGTAGTAATGTTAATCACATACACCAAAATACTTCAGGCTCTTAATATTCGAATAGGCACAAGATTTTCAACAGGGCAGAAGAAGAAAGCAAGAAAGAAAAAGACAATTTCTCTAACCACACAACATGAGGCTACAGACATGTCACAAAGCAGTGGTGGGAGAAATGTAGTCTTTGGTGTAAGAACTTCAGTTTCTGTAATAATTGCCCTCCGGCGAGCTGTGAAACGACACCGTGAACGACGAGAAAGACAAAAGAGAGTCTTCAGGATGTCTTTATTGATTATTTCTACATTTCTTCTCTGCTGGACACCAATTTCTGTTTTAAATACCACCATTTTATGTTTAGGCCCAAGTGACCTTTTAGTAAAATTAAGATTGTGTTTTTTAGTCATGGCTTATGGAACAACTATATTTCACCCTCTATTATATGCATTCACTAGACAAAAATTTCAAAAGGTCTTGAAAAGTAAAATGAAAAAGCGAGTTGTTTCTATAGTAGAAGCTGATCCCCTGCCTAATAATGCTGTAATACACAACTCTTGGATAGATCCTAAAAGAAACAAAAAAATTACCTTTGAAGATAGTGAAATAAGAGAAAAATGTTTAGTGCCTCAGGTTGTCACAGACTAGAGAAAAGTCTCAGTTTCACCAAATCCACATTCAAATGAGTTTTAAATTTAAATTGTAAAAACTGATATTACTGCCAAATATAAGAAAAATATTTTAAGTATTGGTTATGTTGTAAATTTTCAATGTGAATGTCAATTAGATAGGTCATATATATTCAATTTCTTCATTACTTAATGTATTTGTTGCATGGCAGTTTGTTAAAGTACTATCATGTGTATATTTTGTCAATATTATGTCCAACAGAAAATATTCATGTAAGTCATATTTTTTAAGGAATAAATACATAGCCTTAAAACAGTGTATAACTTTAAAATGTAACTGACATAGGTATCCTTGCTTTATTTTTTAAGTTAAAATGCATTGTTTCTAAGCCACAAACTACAGATATATTTAGATTACAACTGGAGTAGCATTTTAATCTAAAAACCAAAATTATGGGCTCAAAACAATCCAGTATTTTCCATACCACTATGCTATGTTTCCTGGTATAGTGTATTTGCTATATTTGATGCATCACAAATAATTAAGTACGTATGAAGCTTTATTCTTTTAAATGTAAAAAATCATAGAATTTATCAAAATTTTAAAATTAATGAACCAAAAAAACCTCTGTATACACACCAAAATAGAGAAACTTTAAAATTCATGCTTACTAGGAAAAAAAAGATTGATTTTCTAAGTTCAAGGACAGTATGCCTATAATATACAAATGAAATGAAACTAAAGGGAAGGAAGAATACTAAAACACCAGCCTCTTTCTTCCTTCCTCACTTTGCTTAAGTCTAAGCCAAATGCTCTGGATTAATATAGTGCAATGATTTAAAAAAAAAAAAAAAAAAAAAAAAAAAAAAAAAAAAAAAAGAACAGTACATCAAAATAAGCTGACTTCCTAACTTTATTCAACTCAGCTCTTTTGTATAATAGAAAGTTAACTACCCAAATCTGAATACCAGGAATGAAAAAAAAAAAGACTTTAAATCATTATAGAAAAGTCTAACAAAGCCTCTAATATTAGATACATACAACTTTAGGGTAATACACTTTATACAATGTTCCCACCAAATCATAGCTCCCAAGTAATTCAAAATGAGTTGTTTTATTTCCACACTGAAATCACTAAGGTAACAATAAGTCTTGTCACTTTTCTACCGTACCATCACTTAATTTAACTTTAGGCATTTTTCTCTCCCACCCTCAATTCATGTGGGAAAATCATGAAATTACTAACCCTAACTACAGATTACAAGAATTGGGAACTTCATATCAAACAAATATTTTCCAATTGTTATAATGTAATAATCTATCGATAAGTGTCAATATCACTATCAGAAATTTAGCAATAAGTTATTTAAAATAGGAAAATACTGCATTGTAATTGGTCAGCTGAACAACTTTTATTCTATTTTCTGAAACTGTATCCACTAAACCAAGTAGCAATTCATTTTTAAAGAAAATATTAAATGTCTAAAAATTCAATAATATATCACTTTTATATAAATAAATGAGATTTATCCAGTCTAGTTTACTGAATACCCTAATCCTTGGAGAAATGAATACCATGCAGTAGCTTGAACTCACTAAGGTTACATGACAAATTAAATAGTAATTTACTTCTGATAATAATGTTAACATAATGTCAAATCTTGGCAAAAGCCCCATTTCCTTCTGTCTTATTTTCTACTGTTTTTTGGAATTTAAAAAAATGCTTCAATTTGACAAAATGTAGCATAAGCAAGTAAGATATTTTTTGAAACCCCAAAGAGAAATTAACACTTCAGGCACAAAAGGATTAAGAAAATTTTCGTTTAGTAAATACATTTGGCACAGACCAGCTCCTAATCTTCTTTTATTTTTTACCCCAGGAAATAAAACAAGCTCATTAATATCTTCATTTAAGAATTTAAAAAATGAATTTTATAATTGGACTCCCAAGCATAAATTAAAATTTTAATATCTAGTTTTATAATCTCAATAAAAATTAGACTATTTTTAGAACCTTCATATTAAGAAAAACTCCCTTGTGTTTTAAATATTTTTACTCTTCAGGTTTATAACTATGCCAAAGAACTCAGTATAAAAAAGAGATTTCTAATATATTTGTCTAAACTGCTTTCATGCCTTCTTGTCCTCTGTAATAAGAAATTAAATAAGAAATAAATGGTAAATATTATATTGCCCTTTAAACTGCTATCATTTCTATACTTGACACTGAAGCAGACATTTAACAAGCATTGTTGACCATCCGTAATGATCTTTCAGGTATACAAAAGTGCATCAACTGATTTACGACAAAGAAAACTCATACCTATCAGAAAACTTCTAACAGCTTTTTAATGTGCTAAGTAGTATATAATATGTAAACCAAAATAATATGTGTTAAAAATTTAGCTTCAAGAACAAGTCACAACTATGTTTCCAACTACTGACCTCAGCTTAAATGTGAGAATGAGAAGCTTAGACAACTTTTTGTATTAAACATCTGTTCTATGAAAAGACGAAATATTTCTATTTTCTTTACGTTGGTCTTCATTACAATGTGTGAATTTTTCACTTTATTTCAAATAATTTTGCTCAAAAAAGCATTAAGGCTAATTCTTCCTGTTAGAATGAAAAAATTAAAAATGCAAAAGCAATAGAGGCAACAATAAACTCAATATGGGACCTTTCTTCAGACTAAATTTTTCTATCCATATATCATAAATCATAGGCATAGATATCAATTTCTACATAGTTAATTGGGTCAGTTCTTCCAAAGGATAAGAAGCCCTTAGTAGCCCTTAGTAGGGCTTATTCCGCATAGTATTTTAAATACCAACCAAAGATGAGCTCAACAAGATGTGGTAAATTTTATTTGCTTTGTTTTGTGTGTTAATTTAAGGGAGCTGTTACTCTACCAACTACTACTGAACAAATGTTCAAACTTATTGTGAAGGTAGAATTATTTATAATTATATGTCTTTTAAAAGGGCCATTCATGATAATTCTGTACTTCTGACCCAAGTCAATTTTTAGTTGTATGTTCTATTCTTTCATCCTTTAACTAAAATAACAGTAGTCTCCCCTTATCCATGGTTTTACCTGCTGCAGTTTCAGTTACCCATGGTCAGTTAGCATGGTCAACTCTGTGGTCCAAAAATATTAAATGGAAAATTCCAGAAATAAACAATTTATAAGTTTTAAATTGTTATATTTAAACTTATTTATAAATTTATGTATAATTGTACTACTTTATTATTAGTTGTTGTTATAGCCTACTGTGCCTAATATATGAATTAAACTTTATCATAGTTATGTATGTATAGGAAAAAAACATAGTACATGATATACTATATATAGGGTTCAATACTATCCATAGTTTCAGACATCCTCTGGTGGTCTTGGGATGTATACCTGAAGATAAGGGGGGAACGAATGTGTAGCAAAATCTCAGTTCCTTGGGCATTAAAAACCAGATTCCTCATTGAACTGAAATTAGACTTAAGGGTCAAAAAATCTAAAATCATTAGAAAACAGGACCTTAGTAGGGCTTATTCCACATAGTATTTCAAGGCTACCTCCCAAAGTCAATAAAACTTTTAATTTTATTGCATTTCATGATTACACAATTAAGTAAGCTTTGTGATTCAATTAGCATTTAAAATCTTACAGAAAAGAGGCATTTTGGCAGATACTTTGAATTATATGAAAGAGTCATTACCCTCAAGAGCTTAAAATCTAGAGTCAAGGTATTAAAAAGTATGGCATTACCTAAAATCAGAGGTAGATGTGGTAAATACTATAAAAGAAGAATAAAGTTCTTAATAGACTTTAGAAGAAAGGGATCATGTTGAATTTAAGAACAGTAAAAAGAAAAACATTGCTGAATAAAGCTGCTGCAGCATATTCTGGAAGAGCAAATTGTTCTTTGGAAGAAAGGTAATACAGTAGCGAGAAGTTATCTAGAAAGTTAAATTTGGGTCATAAGACAGAAAGCCTTCTATCTTATGCTAGAAGAGGTATCTGAGCAGGGGAATTACAAGGTGAAAAAATGAGCTTCAAAAAAACAAATAAAGCAGCAATACACAGAATTGATGAGACACAGAAGATAGGAAGCTGCTGCCATCACCTTCATAGCTAGTGAAAGGCCTGGCAAAAAGTGATGGCACTAGCTTGACAAGGGAGTGTACAGATGTGACAGGCAACGTGAAGGCAGAGTCAATATTTACTAACTAGCTAGGAAAGAAAACTGGCATAAGAGACTGAAGAATTAAAAATGATGACCATAAGGAAGACCATAAGAAACAGATTACCCGCAATACTCAAATAACTATTTAATTATGCTTTGCATAAATTACATTGATAACACAGGCAAAAACAAAAAGAATATCTGGCAAGGCGGAAAACTCAATGAAGTAAAATAACATTAAATAATGTTCTAGTTATTAGAAGCTATTCAGAATGAAAATTTCGAATTGACGTTTTAAATTATCTATTTTATATATTTTTCAATTGGTTCATTCCATTTTTCCATTAAACACATATTTTCTAACAACTATTTTAACTATAAAAATACACAGTGAGAAAATACCAATGTATATGAAGTGAAACACACAAATGTCATCCTTTGCTTTTTTCCCTGAATAATTTATTATGGGCATCCATCCAACTCTTTATAAACATATCATCCTCATTCTTTGTTAATGGCTACATAAAAACAGTTTTTAATTAAAATGTTTTAAAATAGCAACATTTCTAAAGGATAATAGTAATGAAAGGGCAAATAAAGCTTTTTCTGTCCATTTAAGTGGCTTCAAACTGTATTTCAAAATCATGTTAGAAAATTCACATTTTCAGTTTCAATTAAAAATTAAAATTTTTAATAGCCAAGTTACCTTTGGCAACTGAGAAGGTTATATTTCAGAATGACGGCAAGAAGCAATGGGAAAACCATAAAATAATGTATTTCTTTTATCCTTTTCACTAAATAAGATGAGAAATAAGAAAACTAAAGTAAACTTTGACCAACTATTTTCTTTGTATCTCAGATGAGCACTTGTATGTACTCATGAATGTAAGCCCCCACTCAGGGACTGCAGTGAACTCTAAGAAAGTTAAAAATGAGTTGACCAATAATAAATGTTAGAAATTTTAAAAGTTCAGATCATATCGTAAAAGAGAAAGTAAGGAGATAAAAGAACCCAGATGAGGCTGGAAAAAGACCTAAAATATTCAAAGATGCTAAGCTCTTAGAGAAATACGAATAGAATACAGAATTGTAGGTTAGAGCTCACAAAAGAAAACTAATTTGAAGATTGACTTTTTTCTAAAAAGCATTCGAAAAAGCAAAAGACACCCCCATTGACAGGCTGCACATACTAGAAATATAACAACAAACAATGCATCATAACAAGCAGAATAAATATTAAATATTACAATTTACAGATATTTAGAACAAAATGGCATTGAAATGTGGAAACAAATGGAAAAGTGGGCTTACCACTAATACAAAAGCCATAACTTTTAAGAAATACTCATTTTTTTCAGGACAAAAAGAGCCAAGTGAACGTAATCACAATAATATTTCTTCCCTTGCTCATATTAAAACAACATGTGAAAATAATCCTACGTGTCTCTCCCATTCTATTCATACATTTTCTACAGGCCTCCATAAGCTGTATCCATGGCTTTCAAATATGACAGCTTTGTACTTGCACCAGCAAGTGGTAAAATGTGCTGTCATTCCTGTCACTGACACCAATATCAACTCCCTGCCACTATCAAACCCCGAAGCATCAAGTAAGATAAGGGAGGTGAGCTAAGTCTGTCTGGGATTGAGGTCATTTTCATCACCCTGCTTCCATGAGAGCAATATGTCATATTTTTCTCAGAGGTATTAAGCAAGGCAGACTACCAAAGCACATCAACCAATTTCTCAGGATGAAGAGAGAAAGTGGCTAGCGAGGATGACAAGGTTATGGGGAAACTGCTTTTCCCTCAGACAGCTGTGGACACATAATACTCATAAGATTTGAAAAATTAAAATTTAAATTTAATATAAAATTTTAAAATATTAATGCTAACAAATGAGAGCACTGGCCATATTAAACGTAGACTGTAGGAGTGAGAAATACATATGGGACTGTAGTGAGGTAATAATTATATATTAACATATTTATACTTCAATCAGCCAGTAATATTACACACAATCCCATACGTCATATACTATAAACTGAGTACACTGGTTGGGTATACTGCATATTGATTGGGTAAAGAAGAATCAAAGATATATATTTCATCCAAAATATTGCTAATGCCTTAGGACAGGTTGAAATATAAAATATCAAATTTACATACTCTGTACTTTAAAAGTCTCACTCTCAATTCTTAAAAAGCTTTGTCTTTTCTTTTGCTGTTAAATTTTTTCCACCTATCACTTCTTATAAACAACAAAATGCTAGCAAACTGTAGCTACCTACTTTATAAAAACTGTCTTAAATGCACACAATACAATAACAGTTGGTAATACTAATGTACTTTCGCACTACTTTTATAATACCTTTATACTGCTTTTATAATGCCTCCCAAAAAAGTACCTGATACATACTGACTGGTAAGTAAATATTAGTGGAATTGAAAACAAATTTTTAACCTCAGACCCTATTGTTGTATCTTGTTTAGAAGGTTGTTTCTCAAAATGTAGTCCACCTCTATCAGAGATTCTGTGGTACTTTTTAAAATGCCAATTCCTGGGCCCCATCTCTGACTCTCTGACTTACTGAGTCAGAATCTCTGAGGTTGCAGTCCTGAAAAAAAAATCTTTTTTTTTTGGTGGGGGAGACAGGGACTCGCTCTCTCACCCAGGTTGGGGTGCAGTGGTACAATCATGGCTCACTGCAGCCTCGAACTCTTGAGGCTCAAGCGATTCTCACACCTCAGCCTCCTGAGTAGCCCGGACTACAGGCAGGCACCACCATACCCAGCTAATTAAAAAAAAAAATTTTGTAGAGACAGGGTCTCATTATGTTGCCCAGGCTGGTCTCAAACTCCTGGTCTCAAGCAATCCTCCCGCCTTGGCCTCCCAAAGTTCTGGGATTACAGGTGTGAGCCACCAAGCCCAACCAATATATATTTTAATAAGTACTCTCAGGTGATTTGTGTGCTGACGTTTAACAATTACTACTTTAGATATCAGAAGACAGACTATGTATCAAGGTGATATTCAGGTAATAAATGAAAAGGCACAGAAGCAGCTCTTAATTCAGACTGTACTGCCTTCTTGAAAAAAACTCCTCCATTTACTTCATTTTAACTGATTAAATTTTAGTTGGATTATATATACTATAATCCAGTACTACATTAGATTTCTAAGAAATATAATGTTGTTTCTTTAAACAAGGTTATCTAGACAAAAGTTTCCTTTAAAAACCATATACTCTCAGAAGATAAAATGCTATCAAACACAAAACATTCACCATAAACTGTTATGTACTTCACTCAACCATACTACTCAATTAATTATAAAATTGCATGGCTACTATTTTTCATAAAATTCTTACTCAAACCAGAAGTACTATTCTTGCACATTTTTGTTCATTTCACTATAAAACTTCCGCTAAAACATAACTGACATAAAAGAATTACTTCTAAAATAAACTTGCAGTGAAAATACTTACAAATTGTATTTTGTATGTTTTGAAGAAATGCCATTCAGGTTAGGTAGAGGTTTGAATCAAACATTTTTCTTTTGCTGTTATTATTTACTTTGTACCATTAATGCAATTTAGTAAACAGCAACCTAATCTTTGATAATTTTATGACATCCTTTAAATTCCTATTCTGTATTATAATAGTTTAGGTAACACTGATACTTGATAAATGCCGCAAATGGTATTACGGAAACACTACTCTAGGAACATTTCTTATTAACCCTTTCACTAAGAACTTTTTCCAACCACATCGATATTATCTTTTGTTATTACTTTTGGTTTTTAGTATTTTCATTGATTTAATCATGAAACTAACCTATCACAACTTATTGAAAATGAGCATTATTGAAAATCAGCTGCTAGTGAATACAACTTAAAGACACAAAGACAAGGCTGGGCATGGTGGCACATGCCTGTAATCTCAGCACTTTGGGAGGCTGAGGTGGGTGGATCACCTGAGGTTGGGAGTTCGAGACCAGCCTGACCAACATGGAGAAACCTGTCTCTACTAAAAATACAAAATTAGCCGGGTGTGGTGGTGCATGCCTGTAATCCCAGCTACTTGGGAAGCTGAGGCAGGAGAATCGCTTGAACCTGGGAGGCAAAGGTTGTGGTGAGCCAAGATCGCACCATTGCACTCCAGCCTGGGAGGCAACAAGAGCAAAACTGCATCTAAAAAAAAAAAAAAAGATACAAAGACCATAACTCAATAATTCAGGTGACTGAATATGGCCACGTTATAGAAAAATATTTGCCAAGTAATATATTCCAGATAAACAGTGGCTTTAGTATAGGGTTTCCTAGAGTCTCATAAAGTACCCTAAATCAGATGCAAAATGTCACGGGTATGGTTATACATTTTTTTTTTTTCCTAGAACAAAGATTCACAAATTCAGTAAGATCCTCCAAAGAGTATGTAATCCAAAACTAAAATAAAAATCATCATCAGTGTTAGGAAGAAAGCAGGGAAGCAAAACTGGTAAATGTTAGATATAATTTTATTTATATATATCCTCCCTTATCCTAAAGATAATATAAAATAACTTTAGCATTTTATTTTTCTTTTTTGAGACAAGGTCTCACTAGGTTGCCCAGGCTGGCCTTGTACTCCTGGGTTCAAGCAATCCTCCCTGCTCAGCCTCTCGAGTGGCTGGGGTGACAGGCGTGCACCAACGCTACCAGCAAGATGACTTTAAGAATTTTAGACACAACTGAACTAAATGAAAAAATAATAAAATCAGAGCAAACAGCATGAAAAGAATGAAACAATACTTGTATCATTAAGTCCTGTATTCTTACAAGAGGTGAGCCACAAATTGCTCCTTATGATTTCTTTTTAATTTTTATTTTAGGCTCTTTCTTTGAATTCTACATACTTTCTACTAGGTCATTTAAACAGGGAAAAGGAGCTGATTACATGTCTCAGCATTGGTAAGATTAAAAACTCCCTAGATGCTCAGTAGAAGTACAAACTATTGGTACTAAGACCAGAGAGCAGTGACTCTCATGGGCCTTCCCATGTCTCTATGGGTCTTCTCAATGTTTTCCACAACTATATATTCCACAACTATATACACTTAATGATACCTTAAGTCTCACATGGTTGTTTCTTATATCCCTCAATGTATAACACTGGCCACAACAACCTTATAGAAAAGGCAACAAGAAGTCTCACATAGCTAATGATTATAGTTTTCCTCAATGTACAATAATAACATCAAACTAAAGTGAAATTAAGTAAAAAGAATTAGATGGGAATGGTTGTCTAGGTATAAAACCCTCTGCAACTCTGGTTTAATCCAGGGATAGATTCTTGAATGTTAAAACAGTGGATTTGAATCATTTCGTAACACACCTAAGAGGTCAATCAGACTGTGTAGAAAGAGGAGGGTAGTACCTCCAACTGAAAAGAAGACAAGTGTCTTAAAAACAAAAATGGCCTCTAGGTTTTCTAGTACAGTTACCTTCTCCTTCCCTTACCCCACGACCTTCAGAGATTCACTAATTAAGAGAAATGGAGCATGGACTGATAACCTTCAGAAATACCTTCCATAAATATTCTCTCTCAACAAAATTAGGGAAAATAATTGACAGAGAAATGGTTAAGTGCAGAACAAAAACTTGAATAGCCACCAGAGCTGAAGCGAAGACTAAAATCTCGAGAATGCCACTCTGTTTTGTGCAGAGGTTGCTGTTACCAAATTCTGAAATAAGCTAAAGAACTGAACTTTCATTAACTAATTTTAAGAAAAGTCTACTTTGCCTGAAATTTCTGATCCTCAAAACTGATGATTTGATTCAAAGATACAGTTAGAGCATACAATAAGAGCTAACTGTGTTCTGAACTACATGATAAAAGACACTACACAAATGTTTTATCACCATTGTCAAATACAAGAAATAAGACACTTTTAAATACAATTATTCTTCTATGGGTACTATTTATATTAACACATATGCTTACCAATTTTACAATGTAACTAGCTTCTCAAACTACATAAATGTTTCTAAAAACTTAGTGAATAACATGTCACAGAATCTAGTGACACAAATACACCAGACTAAATTGTCTGACAACAGTAATCATAAATCCCAGTTACTATAGTATACAAGTCTTTTATCTTGTAAGCACTGAAAAAAATTATAAAAGCACTTTTAAAGGGTCCATTATGATAGCACTTAGCCCTCACTTAATGCCAAATTTGAACATTTCATAAAACATTGGGGTTGTACTTGCTTACAGAAGCAGAGGAGATAAGATAAATATGCCAACATCAATGTCACAAAGCAAAATATCATAAGAATATAAGTAAAGAGCAATTGGGCTCAAAGGAAAAGGAGGCACATGTACCTGGAAAAGCTGTAGAAAACAAATGGCACTGGAAATGAACTCCGAATGAGGGATGAGACTGGCTGATGGCATCAGGGCAAGGACAGCATATTAGGCAGAGGCACAAACTTGGGCAATTATACAGAAGCAAGAAAAGCAAGTCTCCAGGGAACAATTCACTTTGACACTAGTATACTCCACACTCTATGAATGTAGAAACAGACAGAGATAAAGCTGAAAAATAGGTTATATTCGTGTTTGCCAGGCCAAAAAAAAATTATAATTTAATCCCAAAGCCTAGAGAAAGTCTTTCTAGACTTACCAGTATGGAAGTGTATGGTGAAAAACATACATTTTCACTTTCTATTTCCATCATCATAGTTTACGCCCTCAATATCCTAGACCACTGTGAGGTGAAGAAATCAAGTCAGAGGCTAGCAATCTCTCACAATTTCCATTTCCATTTACCTAAAATACAATTCTGCTCATTTTCAACCCCTGATCACAAATCTTCAACCAGATACATCACCGAGACTTAAAATACAACATAATATATAACAGAAAACAATTCAAATCCAGATATTGCAGCAATGTCTTCATATTTTTCAAATGTAGAATTAAGATGCCTTACAAATTACTCAAAGACACAGTCTTGGAAAAAAAATGCCAGTGGAAAATGCGTACGTCCAATTATATTTTCCTATTAAAAACTATAAAAAAGAAAACACTAAAAAAATCTAGCTGTAAATAGTAATAAGTGAATAATAACTAAAATGCAACAAAAACCATAATCCCAGGATTTAAAAAAGGAAAATAGACAAACAACTGAACTGCAATAGAAAGTCCATACAAGACTCAAGCAAATGTAAGAATTTATTATGAAAAATAAGATACTTCAAATCTGTGGTGAAGTGATGGATTATTCATTAAGTAGTGTTGGAAAAGTAACTAAACAATGGAAAAACAGGGTTTAATGCTTAACCATTCCCAAAGTCAGTGAGTTGTACAACTCCAGGAGGCACAGTTCACATTATAGTCTATGTGACAGTAAATGGTACTGCCTAGAGTTGTGAGATGTGGTTGCTATGTGCCTAAGTTATACCAAAAAAATAGCAGATAGATAAAAGTAAAATCATAAAAATATCCAAGAATATGGAGGTGAATATTTTTGTAATATTGTGGTGAGGAATCAAATAAATCCATTATTAAGTAAAATATTAACAAGTATAATTATAAAACTTCTAAAATTAAACCTAAAACATCAAAGAATAAACTGGGAAACACATTTACAACCTATGTAGTAAAGCAAATTTACCTCTACTGTATAAAAAATAGTTACAAACCAACATGGCAAAAGGAAAATAGGCAAAGAATACAAACAGGTAACTCATCAATGAAAAAGAATGACAAACACAAAACTGTTCAACCACATACAGCAAAAACAAATCCAAATTAGAATAAATTTTAAAACTAATATACCAATGTTCATATGTGCTTGGCAAACAATTTTTAATTTTTTTTAAGAGATGGGGGTCTCACTATGTTGCCCAGGCTGATCTCCAACTCCTGGCCTCAAGCAATCCTCTCACCTGGGACTCCCGACGTATCAGGATTAAGGTGTGAGGCACCGTGCCTGGCTAGCAAATAATTTTTAAATGCTTATGACTAATAATTTTGATAAACCTATGAGTATTTTTCACATTACTACACAAAATATATTTTATTTTGAAATATTAAGCAAAAACCTCAAACATGACCTTTGACCAAGAAATTCAACTTCTAAAATGTATCATAAGGAAAAAAATTGAACAACTGTGCAAAGATGTATGTTTAAGGATGATCAAAACAGTGTCTATACCAGTAAAAAAAAAAAGTATGACTAAAATAATTAACAATAGATTATTACATAAAGTATTGGATAGTTTTTAAATATTATCCAGCCACTAAAATTATGACATAGATTTATGTTTATTAACATGGCATTATGTCCATAATGTAATCTTAGGTACAAAATAGTATGTATAATAAACACAGTAATGCATAAGCAAACAGTTGAGAGGTTAGTTTCTGAAAATGCTGATAATGAATCTCAAGGTTATATCTGTAGTTTTTAATTTTCAGCAATCAACATATGCCTCAATTTTCTAGTTTTCACAATGAACATATATTGTTAATGTAACTTTACAAATTAAAAATATTTATAAGAAACATTGTTTTATTAAACCATTGAAAGCATTATGACAGTAGTATTTCATTTTAAAAATATACAAAATTGAGCTGATTATTCCAAGCCCATTTATTTAAAAAAATTTTAAAATATAGCACATGGCAGGCCTTCATAAAAATTCCTTCCTCTGTTACATTTTGGGTCCATACTGATAATAACCAAACATAAGTGTAAAATTATATTATTAAATAAAAAATATATATGAAAAATAGAGCCTGTGAAAATAAAATAAATTGGTCTTCTGGATACAATATTTAGAAAAATACATTTTCTCACAAAGTACTGTCCAGATTGAGACTAAGTTGTTGACTAAGACATCCAGGTCTTGTTTCTCTTGTGTTTTGCTTTCTGTTATCTTTTATTTATGAGCATACTATACAACATGCTCATTCCCTTGTAATATTTTGAAGAAAGTGAAAAAGATGAAAACATATAATAATTATCAATTATTTGGTTTAAGCCAAAAGAATAATAGGCTGGGTGTGGTAGCTCACGCCTGTAATCCCAGCGCTTTGGGAGGCCAAGGAAGGTGGATCACTTGAGGCCAGGAATTCAAGACCAGCCTGGGCAACATAGTAAAACCCCATCCCTCCACAAAAAATACAAAAATTAGTTGGGCATGGTAGTGCACGCCTGTAGTACCAACTACTCAAGAGCCTAAGGTGAGAGGACCACCTAAGCCCAGGAGGCAGAGGTTGCAGTGAGCCAAGATTGCACCACTGCACTCCAACCTGGGCAACAGAGTAAGACCCTGCCTCAAAATATTAATAAAAAATTAAAAAAAAAATAACAGCATTTTTCTCATTTCTTCCTCCTGCATTCAAAACTATGTATTTCCCCAAAGTTATAATGTCACATATATGAAACCTGCCATTTTCCATTTTTAGAGACCTGAGCAACCAAACATTGTGATTTTTCCAACCTTTGGAATGTTCCTTGAAAAAGTTTTTCTCTATTTTCTTGTATCTGTAATTAGGCCAGGCTATGAAAACTATAGAGGTGATAATTCATTAAGTTGTACATTTACAGTGTATGTACTTTTTTCATACTTCACTAAAATGTTAAAACTGCAGGGACCATTTAAATGATGCCTGGTTAATGTCCTTAAATGTTCTCTAAAATACATTTAAGTAAACAGAAGCAAAATATAAACTCTTCGCTAAAATGTATTCTTATTTTCTTGGAATATTAAAAATGAACACATTTAAATCTCAAACCAATCTCATATCTCAGCCGAGATAAATGATGGTTGAAAAGAAAATGCAGGCCGCATCAATGGAAGAGGTGCCATCTATCACATTAAATTTAAAAAAGAAAGCTGTATAGTTCACTCAGCTTCTGGTGACAAACAATACTGTTATAACCCTACCCAAATTTTACTGAAGTTCTAAGTTCACATATACTTTTGTCTTACAGAAGTCTGATCCCCATTACCACCTCTACCAGAGTACAAGTTGAAAAAATAAAAGTGAAAGTCCAAGAAAACAAGTTCACCCATTGTTAAAAAAGAAAAAAATCTATGTTTAGTGAGGAAGAAAACTCACATTGTAACCTCAAATACTTACTTCAGAATGCACGTTAAGTATGTAACATAATAACTACTTATAAAGGAATGACCCTCAAAGAAAGCCTCCCAGTCATATCAAAAACTTTAAGGGCATATGTATTCAACAACTAACTTGCAACACAGCAAATAATTGTCCAAGAGATTTTTTTTAAAAAAAGAAAAAGAAATCCAAGTCTTCTTCCTACTAGCTGTGTGATCCGGGAACGCTACGTAATCTTATTCTGATTCTCTTTGCCCATCTGCAAAATGATAGCATCTACCTCACAGAGTTGGGAAGCTTCAATGAGATAAGCACAAACAATGTTCAGCATAATACCTGCCATACAGCAATCAATGGAAACTTTTATCATTATTATTCTGAAATTTTATTTAAAAAACAACTAACAAACGCATTTTCAATTCAATTATATGATGTAGTTATTTTTTAAAGGAATAAATTATTTTTAAAAGGAATGATTATGATTTCTCACCTCAACAGAAATTTCAGAGACTTGATTTTCACTTTTCTTAAATGTTTCTACTCTCTTCCAGTATCGTCCCCCATCCCGCTCCTCCTCCAAGATAGGGTCTTGTTATATTGCCCAGGATAACCTCAAACCCTTGAGCTCAAGAGAGCCTCCCACCTTAGCCTCCCAAGTAGCTGGGATTACAGGCACATGCCACGGTGTCTTGCCAGTGTCCATCTTTAATGCAGAAATCTTTACAGTAATACTTCAATATCTTGTTCCCAGAAAAATATGCATGAGAAATGTGTGTACAAAAATACCATCTTTTTTTTTCCAAGAAAAGCATTACATGATGTAATGGGGGATGGGGAATAGTATTTTTGAGCACACAGAAGTAGAACACATGATCACAGATTATGATGTATGCTCCAAGTGATCCAAGTGTGTGACATCAAAATATCACACAAATTTGTTGTTTAGTTATATTTCTAAAGAAAGAAAACAGGAGGAAAGCAATATTTTGAGGACCTACTATATACTGGGCAGGGTCAAAGGAAATCTACTCTGGCTTGTTATATCTTCCTAACAGTCCTCTGAAACCTGAGTGAGAAGTTAACTTCTGGTAATTCACAGTTAGAAACAGGGATGGAAATGGGATTTAAACCAAGATCTAAATGGTTTCAAAGCCTATTCTTTCTTGTCTCTCAATCACAAATTACACAGCAGAAATGATTACAATAGTTTATGGCATCACTTTATGATATTATGAAGCCTCTAAAGTATTAGTAAAGTATTACTTTGATGGAAAAAATTTATGAATACGGTGTTGTTCTCATTATTATCTTAAAATACCTAGCCTCCATGTGCCCATTCAACAAGATTTATTCAAAGTCATTTACCCTCAGTAGAAGTCTTCCTAACTAATCCTTGCAGTTTTTGTTGTTGTTGCTACCATTTAACTCACTTTAAAATATCAATTTCTTACTTAGTTTTAGGTAGAAAGTCTCTAAATCAATCGATTAGGTGGCTATTCCTCAGTATCTTCAAACTTCATCAAAAACAACAGCATACAAACAAAATACCTTCTCTCTATCCTCTACCTTCTGTCCTGCAATTATCACAACTTGGCATTAATGGAAAAGACCAAGCAGAGATTACTTTGCTTCTTTATCTTCCAAAGAAGAGATCAATATCCTGGGTACTCTTCCATCCCTGAAGAGTAACTAGATCAAGCTGGAGGATGTGGGTTATCATACAGCACATCCCAATAAAACACCATTTTATCCTACTCACTCTCTTACTCCACATAGACTGCTGATACATATGTTAACCATTCATGCTCTCCACTTTGTCCCAAGATGCAATTCTTCCTCAAGTCTTTTCCCAGGTGAAGGCTCGTACCCTACAGCTGCCAATGAATGTTCTATTACTTCTCCCAGGAAAAAATATGGCTTTCATTTTCAAAGCCCTTTTAGCAAAGGAACTTTTTCTTTTCCAAATAAAATAGTTTACAAAACTCAAATTTATAAACAAGATAAAAGCAAACTACCCTCAACAAAGCAAAATTAGGGGACCAGAGTAAAACAGCTCAACATTCCTTTCATCCAAATCACAAGGATTCCTCACAATACAATGTGAAACAAACATGATTTTGAAGAAGCAGCCTCAATAGAAAATTCCATGAGAAATTTCCTACTCACTGTACTAAAATCTTGAATAAATATATTCTTCTGTAAGAAATTAAATAACCATGATGAAGAAACAGACTCACCCTGCCCCTGTAGCCAGATCTGTGATAATATCCCATAAGTATCCCAAAGACTAAGAATGAACTTCATTAATCTGCATAATTCCAAAACAGACACATAAACAGATGGACACATATAAAAGATATTTTATAAGCAATATCCCATTACAGCTGTTTATTTTTAAATCATCAGTTAATATTTTGTATCTGTGTATAAAAAAATATCTAGTTTCTGGCAATAAAACGTCTTACAATTCTGGCACTTTTCTGTCAGAAGAGCCAAAACATAGTAAACAAAAAACCAAAAACAACAATGGGTAGTGTGTGTGTGTGTGTGTGTGTGTGTGTGTAGTTTATTTTGCTTTGTTTTAACTCTAATGTCTTTCTAGAGAAGAGCTTCAAAAATCATTCTTCTTCCTCCAAAACAAACAGTACTCTTTCCATGTAACTGACGTGGTACAAATGCTGCATGTATTAGTTTCTTATTGCTACCGTAACAAATTACCACAAACCTAGAGGCTTAAAAAGCACAAATTTGTTACCTTATAGCTCTGAAGGTAAAGTCCAAAACAGGTCACAATAAGCTAAAACCAAGATGTTTCCATGGCTGTATTCCCTTCTGGAGGCCCTTAGGGGAGAATCTGTTTCCCTGGTCATTTAGGTTGCTGGCAGAATGGAAGTCCTTATGGTTGTGGAACTGAGGACCTCACTTCCTTGCAGGCTATCAGCTGAGGACAGTTCCCAGCTTCTAGAAGACATCTACATACCTTGGCTTATGATCTCCTTCTTTCATCTTCAAAGCCAACAATGGCAAATCAAGTACTTCTCATGCTTCAAATCTTTCCTGTCTCTTCATCCATCACCTACCCACTCTTCTGCCTTCATCTTCCAATCCAGAATAATCTCCCCATCTCAAAGCCTATAATTTAAACGTACCTGCCAAGACCCTTTTGCAATGTAAGTTAACATATTCATAGGTTCCAAGGATTAAAACAGGACTCTCTGGGGGACCATTATTCTGCCTATTGTGCCATACTTGTTGAGCTGCACTGATTTGAAGTCAGAAAAAACACCAGAGAACATGTCATGATCTGCTGTAGTCTGCATGTGTCCCCCAAAATTCATATGCTGGAAGTTTAATCCCCAATGTAATAGTGTTGGGAGGTGGGGCCTTTTGGGAGATGTTTAGCTCATATAGGCTCCACCTTATGTACACATACAGCAATGCTGCTATAAAAAGGGTTTGCAGGAGTGGGTTCTCTCACTTCTGCTCTTATCCCACAAAGGAACACAGAGTTCATCTCTCTTACCCTTCTACCTTCCACCACGTAAGGATGCAGCACGAAGGCCCACATTGAATGGCAACAACTTGTTCTTGGACTTTCTTGCCTCCAGAACTGTGAGATACTACATTTCTGTTCTTTATAAACTATATAATCTGTAGTATTCTTTACAGCAGTACAAAACAGAGTAAGATACTATCCTTTAGCCTCAAAAGTTGTTAGGATCAAAAGCATTAGAGTTCAAAATACTGAGCAATTGTATCATTAAATATTACCACTATGAGTAAATCCATCAATTAGAATAGCTATTATCACTAAGCCCTTACTTCTCTTGAAATCAAAGAATATCTAAATATGTGAACATAACTTAAGGCTGAATAAATTAAATTTCTCATTGTAAAACAGAACTTATTTATAATTTTAGACTCCTCTCTCTTTGCTTAACTGCCTGTGTCCCACAAATCTCAATCCCTAAATAATGTCACCACAAGGCTAAAGTCACATTGGAAGACACAGGCTTAGATGATATCTTCTAGAAAGCACAACACTGTTCTTGTCATAGAAACAAGACCGAACTTAAACCAGTGACAAGACCCATGAGTTCAACACATGCAACATCTAGAATCTCTTAGAATCCCCATATTAAATATATTCAAAGACTATGAAAAAGGTGTTGCTACTTTGAATTAGTTTTGGCAAAAAGAAAGAACAACTTCTATTGGGACACAGATCTTCTGCTGTTCTTCTAAATAAGGGAAAGATGTGCCTTAGAAAATAAATTGTTAAATAGCTAGAAAAATAATAACATGAAACTAATTTGAGTATTAAAAATTTCCACAAGACATGTCATCTTTTCAAAACAAAGTAATTTAATAGCAATAGACCCCAAAAACCAAAGTAAAGGTACTTGACAACATTCTTATATCCGTTTGTTCTTTGGGAGTACAGAAATTTTATATACATAAAATTTAAGTTTATATTTAATATTACCTCCAATTTCAAACTAAAAATAATGCATAAGCTCTCAACCTACACAGATTGTTATCAAAGTGATTTAAATTTACAATGCATATCCAATTTTACAGTCTTTGAGTGCCTATGAGAAACAGGCAAATACAAATTAGTTTCATCTAGCTTCCACTAATGGCAGAGTGAACTGGTCAGGCATAGTTTCCAGCAGATAAGCTCTAAACCTATATAAAGCACTTCTAAAAACACACCATAGTCATGTGCCACATAATGATGCTTTAATTAGTAACAGTGGTCCCATAAGATTATAATGGAGCTGAGAATTTCCTATTGCCTACGATGTCACAGCCACAGTGACCTTAGCATAATATGTCACCTGCTCTATGTTTAGATATATTTAAGTAGACAAGTACCACTGTGTTACAACTGCCTACAATATTCAATACAGCAACATCAATAGGATATACCATATAGCCTAGGTGTGTAGTAGGCTACATCATCTAGGTTTGTGTAAATACACTCTATGATGTTTACACAAAGATGAATCACCTAAAGACACATTTCTCAGAACATATCCCCATCATTAAACGATGAATAACTGCATTTGAAGGCGACAGAAATAACCAAAGAAAGATTTACTTTTAATTATAGAAATTGCAATGAGTAAGAATTCCAAGTCTGGTCATTTTTGTCTAATGGCACTCACTACCACAACTCCCATTCCAAGTCCCATAGATACAGACTTACATTCTGGAGATGGCTGAGAACAGGAATCAGGGCAGGCAGAGTAGTTATTTCACATAAAGCTGGGGACGAGGGGTCAGTGGGTGGAATCCTGAGAGCCACAGGAGCAAGACCAAATCCCCGCCTTATCATTAACATACATATGCGCGGCAGAGATCCAATGGGGATTTGGAGAAAAAAGCAATCGAAAGTCAGAGAGGAATCTACCCTTACAAGATCTGTAAAATGAGTGAGTCTGCTGCTTTTTCAGACTGATAGCATTCCCTAAACAGTGCACAGCTATAATGGCAGAAAGCTGGGGCCTTACTAACTTGCGATGTCAGAGGACTGAGCTCATGGCTGGCACGGCAACTGAAAGGATAGGGAAGAAACACACAAAGGAAAAAGAGGTAAGGGCCATAATTTTAGTACCAACTTTGCCAGAATCCTTGGCGATAGCTAACTACACAGGTACAGGGAAAACCATAAGGTACTACACTCCCAAAGTGGCAGCTGTAAGATTAAAGAACTGAGCAAAACCAGCAACTACACAATGCAGGGAAAATAATGTACAGTTTAAGACCAGACAAGTTAAATTTGTTCTACAGGCTAGAACAAAAACAACATGAGCAATCCTCAGAGAACATAACAGAATCTACAATCAATAAAATGTACTATCCATAATGTCTAGTTTTCAACCAAAATTTATTTCACATGCAAATAAATGAGATAACATGATCCATATGCATGAAAAGGAAAAAAAAAGTCAATAGAAATTGATTCAGAGAGGGCTAATATGTGGGACTTAGCAAAGACTTCAAAGCAGCTACTATTTCACCTGAAGTAATTCAACACTAAGTAGACTGTGGTAATTAAAGATGCATGTTGCAATCTCCAGTGAATTTCTAAGAATTACAGTGTAATTCTTAGAAAAATAGTACAAGCACAGAGCTAAAAAGTGCACAAACAAAATAAAATAGAAGACACAAAAGTATTTGATTAACATAAAAGAAAGCAGAAAATTCCAAGAAAGGAAATCCCAGACGAGATGACTTCACAGGTGAGTTTGGCCAAATACTTTATTTATTTTTTATTTATTTTTACTCATTTTTTAATTATTTTTTTTTTTTAAGAGACAAGGTCTCGCTATTCTGCTCAGGCTGGTCTTGAACTCCTGAGCTCAAACGATCCTCCCACCTTAGCCTCCTGAGTACCTGAGATTACAGTCACATGCCACCATACCCAGTTGGACCGAACATTTAAAGAGTAAATATCAATACTTCTACAACTCTTCCCAAAAATTAAAGAGAACGGAATGCTTCCTAACTCAGTCTATGAGGGCCAGCATTTGCCTGACATCAAAGTCAAAGACACTACAAGAAAACAACAGCCCAACATCCTGTATAAATACAGATGAAAAAAATCCTCAACAATATACTAGCAAACCAAATTCAGCTGTGTATTAAAAGGATCATACATCATGAACAACTAGGATCTATCTCTGGAATACAAGAGTAGTTCAACATACAAAAATCAATCAACTGACTGGGCACAGTGGTTCATGCCTGTAATCCCAGCACTTTGGGAGGCTAAGGCAGGTAGATCACTTGAGGTCAGCAGTTGGAGACCAGCCCAGCCAACATGGAGAAACCCCCATCTCTACTAAAAACACAAAAATTAGCTGGGTTTGATGGCATGCGCCTATAATCCCAGCTACTTGGGAGGCTGAGGCATGAGAACCGCTTGAACCCAGAAGGCAGAGGTTGCAGTGAACCAAGATCGTGTAACTGAATTCCAGCCTGGGTGACAGTGAGACTCTGTCTCAAAAAAAAAAAAAAAAAAAAAAAACAAAAAAACAATCAATATAATATACCACATTAATAGGATGAAAGGAAAAAAACACATGACCATTTCAACTGATGCAGGAAGAGCACCCCAACTCAACACCATTTCATGATAAAAACATTTAATAAACAGAAATAAAAGAAAAACTTCCTTAACACAATAAAGGTCATATATGAAGAACACACAGCTAACAAAATACTCAGTTGCGAAAGACTGAAAGCTTTTTCCCTAAGATCAAAAACAAAACAAGGCCAGACACAGTGGCTCACACTTATAATCCCAGCACTTCTGGAAGCAAACATAGCAGAATCACTTGAGCCCAGGAGTTCGAGACCAGCCTGGACAACATAGCGAGACTCCATCTCTACCAAATAAAAATTAAAAATTAGCCAGGCATGGTGGCATGCCTGTGTCCCAGCCACTCAAGTGGCTGAGGCAAGAGGCTCACTTGAGCCCAGGAGTTTGAGGTTACAATGAGATATGTCTGCGCCACTGCCACTGCACTCCAGCTTGAATGGCAAAGCAAGGCCCTGTCTCTACAAAACAAACAAACGAACAAACAAGTATTAGCCTGCACCTGCTCCACCAAAACTTCTATAGTGTTGGAAATCCTAGCCAGAGCAATCAAGTAAGAAAAAGAAATAAAAGGCATTCAAATCAAAAGGAAAGTAGTAAAACTGTCCCTGTTTGCAGATAACATGATCTAATATTTACAGAAATGCATAAAGACCCCACCAAAAAACTATTAACATAAAAAATTCAGTAAAGTTGCAGAATACAAAATCAACACACAAAAATCAGTGTCATTCCTATGTACCAACAACAATCTATACGAAAAAGATATTAAGAAAACAATCTCATTTACAATTGCATCCAAAGAATAAAATACTAGGAACAGACTTAAGTAAGAAAGTGAAAGACCTGTATATTCAAAACTACAAATAAAAGAAACTAAAGAACTAAAGAAGACAAACAAATGGAAATACTTCTAATGTTCATAGATTAGACAACTGAATACTGTTAAAATTTCCCTACTATTCAAAGTGGTCTACAGATTCAATGCAATCCCTATCTAAATCCCAATGTCATTTTTTAGAGAAATAGAAAAAAAAATCTAAAATTCATATGGAACCACAGAAGACCCTGAATAGTCAAAAGAACTCTGAGAAACAAATAATATAGCTGGTATCATCATACTTCTTTATATATACATACACAAAGCTATAATAATTAAATAGTATGGTACTGGCAAAAAGAAAGACAAACTGATGCAATAGAGTAGAGAGCCCAGAAATAAATTCATGCATATATGATAAACCAATGTGTAACAAGGGTGCCATGAATACACAAGGAGGTAATGACAGTCTCTTCAACAAATACAAGGAAAACTAGATATACAAATGCAAGGGAATGAAATTGGACCCTTAGTCTTACACCATACACAAAAATCAACTCAGAATGGCTTAATGATTTAGCCGTTAGACCTGAAACTGTAAAACTCCTAGAACGACACGTGAGGAAAAACTCTGTACCATTGGTCTTGGCAATGATTTCACAGATGTGACCAAAAACACAGACAACAAATGCAAAAACAGACAAGTGCGACTACATGAAACTAAAGAGGTTCTGCACAGCAAAGGAAACAAGACAGTGAAAATGCAACCTATGAAATGCGAGAAAATATTCACAAACCATGTATCTGATAAAGGGTTAATTTCCAAAACGTATAAGGGACTTTACAACTCGATAGCAAAAATAAAAACCCAATTAAAAATGAGCTAAGGACTTGAATAGACATTTCTCCAAAGAATACATACAAATAGCCAACAAGTATATAAAAAGATCATTAATATCTGACCAGTCATCAGAGTAATGCAAATCGAAACCACAGTGAGATACCACCTCACATCCGTTAGAATGGTTATTATTAAAAAAAACAAACAAGCAAAAACAACAAAAAACAGACACGTGCTGGTGAGGTTGCGGAGAAATTGGAATCGTTTTACACTGTTAGTGGGAATGCAAAATTGTACAACCCCTATAGAAAATAGTATGGTGATTCCTCAAAGAAATTAAAAATAGAATTACTATACGATCCAGCAGTCCCACTTCTGGGTTTTTATCCAAAATAACTGAAATAGGATCTTGAGGAGGTATCTGCACTCTCATGTTCACAGCAGCACTATTTACAACAGCCAAAATACAGAAATAACCTAAATGTCCACCAGCTGATGACTGAATTTTTTAAATGTGATATATATACATAGAACAGAATATTATTCCGACTTAAACAAGAAAGAAATCCTGAAATATGCAACAATGTGGATGAATCTTATGGATATTATGCTTAGTAAAATAAGCCAGTCACAGAAAGACAAATACTGCATGATTCCACTGACATAAGGTATCTAAAATAGACAAATGCATGGAAGCGAATAATGGAATTGTGGCTGCCAGGGGCTGGGGGAGAGGAAGAAATGAGGAGTTGTTAATCAATGGGCATAAAATTTTAGTAAAGCAAGATAAGTAAGTTCTAGAGATCTGCTGTTCAATACCATGCCTATAGATAACAATACCATATTATACATTTAAAAATCTGTTAAGAGGGTAGATCTCATATTAAGCGTACTTACCATTCTAAAATTTAAAAAAGAAAATCACCACACTAACGTAAGGTATTCCTATTAACCTATCCAGAAAAGTTTAAAAAACAAAGGGAAGAGGAGTAAATTTTTTTTTTTTTTTTGAGATGGAGTCTCGCTCTGTTGTCCAGGCTGGAGTGCAGTGGCACAATCTTGGCTCACTACAACCTCTGCCTCCCAGGTTCAAGCCATTCTCCTGCTTCAGCCTCCTGAGAAGCTAGGATTAAAGGAGCACGTCACCATGCCCAGCTAATTTTTTGTATTTTCAGTAGAGGTGGGGTTTCACCATGTTGGCCCAGCTGGTCTCGAACTCCTGACCTCAAGAGATCAGGCTGCCTCAGACCTCCCTAAGTGCTAGGAGGTGTCAGCCACCATGCCTAGCCTGAAATTTTTAAAATGAGATGACAGAATGGAATGTTAAAGAGGGAACTGGAGTCTGTTAATTCAGTGCAAATAGGCGAATAGTGTATCTCAGTTTCAAAGTTTAGAAGTAGGGATAGTATCTAACCTCCAGCTCTAATTCCTCCTTTGCATCTACATTTTTTTTCTGCAAACCTTTCTAAAACATCCCCCAGCTCACTTCTCCTCAAGTCTCCTGAGCCCAGATGAGTCGCATGTCCACGTTTAAACCATTACGTAAAGGAATGAAACTATCATGATCTATCATGATTTAAGCACTGGAGCAATTAAGTAGTCCCTTCCTTGAGCCCAAAGATATTATTAGGAAGAAGAGCACTCAACCAAACTGAGACCCTGTAAAAAAGAAAGAATGGAAACAAAGGAAGTGGGAAGTCAATCAGTAATGTATGCTACACTGAATATAGATCCACGTGCCATGGAAACCAATTTAAGATGTAAGAGTTGGCATCCTGTCTTGAAAAATAAGATTCTATCCAATTGTTCTTTCCTGGAACATATGAAGGGGGTTTTCAGGAACTTTTGCTGACAAATTCTGCATTCTCCTCAAGAAGCGACTCTGGATAAACTTGAGAAGTGAACAACTGAACTTCCAGAGCCCTAGACCATGCAATTTAGATACGGATTTCTTTTTCAAAGCAGATGTTACTAATCTCTGTAATTGCTACAGAAACAACTTCATAAATCTCTGTGTACTACCTCATTCTGAGGATCATGCCTTCTTGATGTGCCCACGAAAATAAATTCACCATAAGATATATCCCTAGATATCTAATTTGGCACTTTTTAGTTACATAGTATAAACGGATTGGATTTTAGAGAATGGTTTACCAGATATAATAATTTCAGGGTTTTTTCCAACAGTGAAATAACTTTAGTTTTAATATAATTAATAAGGAAATAATATAGATTATCACCACTGGCAACAGGATATATTCCTAGTTGTAATAATAAAACCATGTCATCAGTATGTATCTTCCTTTGGGATATGATATTAAAAGATTCATCAAATCACATTTCTGATTCATCAAAAGAGATTTCAAATCTCTAACACAGAAGTTAAAAACAAATGAATAAAACTGCAAGCTATTTTACTGAATATGTTTCTGAGAAGATCATGCCTCCCTGCCCTGTTGTTTATACAATATGAAAGTGTAAAATTCTACAGGTACACCTATAATCATAAATTTACATTCAACCATTCTAACAGCCTTTAGCAATCTTAATTTGCCATATTTACCAAAACAAAGACTAATAAAAACTGTTTCACATTGTTACTGGCTTTTCTATATATAAAGGAATAAATTATCTTGGCAATGAAAAGTAGAACAACCCACCTAATTTTCCTGTACAATATTATACTTAGAGACCCAAAGCTGTAATTCATCAAGAAGAAAGCTAGCATAATTTTAAAGGAACAGTCAACAATAGAATAAGCCTGTAGTTCTGAGGCACTTTGTTTAGATTAAGACACATTTTTTTCAAATTAATATTATTAGTAATATATACTAGAAGGGAAAAGAACTTGAGAACTATTGGCATAAGCATCCAAATGAAAAAGAAAATCCCTTAGAACCAAGAAATAAAAAACTTTGATACATTACTAGTTGGAAGTACCTTAAGCTAAATAAATTGTTCTCAAACTTTATAAGTCTTCCAGCAAGGGGTGATAGTAAGGTAAAACACAGAGCTTCCATGAACATTATTAAACAACCATATGAAACAGAACACATATCTAGAAATGCTTGCAACTTTAAAATGTACGAAAAACAACATACTAATGTTTACAGTAAAAGAGCTCCTTGTTTTTGTCTAGATGTTACCCTGAATTTTTTACACTATATGATAAAAGAATGAATAGAATCATAAATGTGGTATGAGTATTACCTGTTAAATATAAATTTTAGCAACATTAACTTCAATTAGTTTTAAAAAAGGTTTGTGTGCTTGTGTGTATAATTTCTATATGCTTATCTCTACCACATACAAACACATATCTAAGCATAAGCCTTTCTGGCCATTTGGATTTGAGCACAACATCACCCCCATCTGGTGGTGGCTGAACCCAGTCACATATGTAAGCAATTTAGAGACCATTTAAATCAAATGTACAAACAGAAAATCTTTATAATCTGTCATTACACTGTAGATATACACATATACATTACATTAACTATGAAGAAGTTGTCACACACAAAAAACTTCAATGCATTTAAGAAACAAGTCACTTCAGACTCACAATAAAGGGAAAACGAGAAACAGTTTCATGGTATTTTTTTCTTTTGATTTTTATTTCAATAGCTTTTGGAGTACAAGTGGTTGTGATTACATAAATAAATTATTTAGTGATGAATTCTGAGATTTTAGTACACCTATCACACAAGTAGTGTACTTTGTACCTAATATGCAGTTTTTTATCCCACATTCTCAATACCCTTCCTCTTCTGAATCTCCAAAGTCCATTTTATCACTCTAAGTCTTTGCGTATTCTTAGATTAGCTCCCACTTATAATGAGAACATTTGATGTTTAGTTCTCCATTCCTGAGTTATCTCACTTAGAATAATGGCCTCCAGCTTAATCCATGTTGCTGCAAAACACATTACTTCATTCCTTTTTATGGCTGAGTAGTATTACATGGTGTGTATATACATATACATCACGTTGTCTTTATTCACTCATTGGTCAATGGGCATTTAGGTGGGTTCCATATCTTTGAAATTGTGAATTGGTCTGCAATAAAGATATGTGTGCACGTGTCTTTTTCATATAATGACTTCTTTTCCTTTGGATAGATACCCAGTAGTGGGATTGCTGGATTGAATGGTAGATCTACTTTTAGTTCTTTAAGGAATCTCCATACTGTTTTCCATAAAGGTTGTATTAATTTACATTCCCACCAGTAGTGTATAAGCATTACCACATCCACACAAACATCTATTGTATTTTGACTTTCTAATAATGGCCATTCTAGACGGAATAAGCTGATAATCTCACTGTGGTTTTAATTTGCATTTCTCTAATGATTAGGGATGTTGAACATTTTTTCATATGTTTCTCGACCATTTGCATATCTTCTTTTGAGAAATGTCTATTCATGTCATTTGCCCACTTTTTGGTGGGATTATTTATTTTTCTTGCTGATTTGAGTTCCCTGTAGCTTCTGAATACTAGTTCTTTGTCACATGCACAGTTTACAAGTCTTATCTTCTCCCGTTCTGTGGGTTGTCTGTTTATTTTGACAATTATTTCTTTTGCTGTAGAGAAGCTATTTAACCAGGTCCCATTTATTTATTTTTGTTGCATTTGCTTTTGGGATTTCAGTCATGAATACTTTGTCTAGGCCAATGTCTAGAAGAGTTTTTCCTAGGTTTTCTCCTACGGTTTGTATGGCTTTGGGTCTTAGATTGAAGTCTTTGATCCATCTTGGGTTGATTTTTATATAAAGTGAGAGGGATACAGTTTCATTCTTCTACATGTGGCTAGCCAGTTTTCTCAGCAGCATTTATTTAATAGGGTGTTCTTTCCCCAATTTATGTTTTTGATGCTTTGTTGAAGATCACTTGGTTCTAAGTATTTGGCTTTATTTCTGAGTTCTCTATTCTGTTTCATTGGGTCTATGTGCCTACTTTTATACCAGAACCATGCTGTTCTGGTAACTGTATACAGCCTTGTAGTATAACTAAGAGTCCAGTAATATGATGCCTCCAGATGTGTTCTTTTTGCTTAGGATTGCTTTGGTTATTTGGGCTCTTTTTGGTTCCAAATGAATTTTAGGATTTTTTTTCCCATTCGGTGAAAAATAATGTTGGTATTTTGATGGGGAATTGCACTGAATATGTAGACTGCTTTGGGCAGTATGGTTATTTTCACAATATTGATTCTTCCAATCTATGAACACAAGATGTGTTTCCATTTGTTTGTGTCATCCACGTTTTCTTTCAGCAGTTTTGTAGTTCACCTTGTAGAGATCTTTCACCTCCTTGGTTAAGTATATTCCTAGTATTTTATCTTTTTTGCAGATGCAAAAGGGGCTAAGTTCTTGATTTGATTCTCAGCTTGGTGGTTGGTGTGTAGCAGTGCTACTGATTTGTGTACATTGACTTTGTAACCTGAGACTTTACTTGTTTATCAAATCTAGGAGTCTTCTGGAGCAGTCTTTATTTAGGGTTTTTCATGTATACAATCACATCATCAGTGAACAGTGATAGTTTGACTTTCTTTTTCCAATTTGGAAGCCCTTTACTTCCTTCTCTTCCCTGATTGCTCTGACTAGGACTAGGACTTCCAGTACTATGTTGAATAGAAGTGATCAAAGTGGGCATCCTTGTCTTGTTCCAGTTCTCAGGGGGAAGGCTTTCAACTTTTCCCCGTTCAGTATGATGTCGGCTGTGGGTTTGTCATATATGGCTTTTATTAATTTGAAGGAAATCCCTTCTATGCCTAGTTTGTTGAGGGTTTTTTATCATAAAAGGATGCTGGATTTTACCGGATGCTTTTTCTGCATCTATTGAGATGATCATATAGTTTTTATTTATAATTCTGTTTATGTGATATATCACATTTATTGATTTGCATATGTTAAATCATCCCTGCATCCCTGAAATAAAACCCCTCGATCACCATGCATTATCTTTTTGATGTGATGTTGGATTTGGTTAGTTAGTATTTTGTTGAAAATTTTTGCATCAATGTTCATCAGGGATATTGCTCTGTAGTTTTCTTTTTTTGTTATGTCCTTTCTGAGTTTTGGTATCAGGGTAATACCGGCTTCAAAGAATGATTCAGAGAGAATTCCCTCTTTCTCAATCTTTTGCAATAGTTGCAGTAAGATTGATACCAGTTCATCTTTGAATATCTGGTAGAATTCAGCTGTGAATCTATCTAGCCCTGGGCTTTTTCTTTGTTGGCAATTTTTTTTATTACTGATTTAATCTTGCTGCTTGTTATTGGTCTGCTCAGGGTTTCTATTTCTTCCGGATTTAATCTAGGAGGGTTGTATGTTTCCAGGAATTTATCCATTTCCTCGAGGTTTTCTAGTTGATATGCATAGGGGTGTTAATAGTAGTCTCAAATGATCTATTGCGTTCTGTGGCATTGGTTGTAATGTCTCCAGTTTCATTTCTAATTGAGCTTATTTGAATCTTCTTTTTTTTCTTGGTTCATCTAGCTTAATGGTCTATCCATTTTGTTTATCTCTCAAAGAGAGAATTCAGTTCTTGGTGCTTTCAGGGGTGGAAACTCTGAGTTCCTTGGTTATTAAGAGTCTTTGTATGATAGCTTTCTCTGCTGCTGGTTGTAGTAGCAATATGTTGGTCATGTGAGCAAGTTCACTGTCTCCCATAGGGTTGAAATGGTAGAGGTCTCTTGACGCTTAATCTCATTCCCCTGTGATGTGCACTTTTTTATTTATTTTTTCCCCAGTATTTTATTTACTGGATTGAATATTTTAGGCTTCAGGCCAATACAGGAGGTGTCCACAGGTAAAAACCAGCTTTGGCTAAAGCAGGTGGGTAAATGCAATACCCAATGGTGGGGAAAGGTCCCAGCCTTGACAGAGGTGGCCGAGGAAGCTCTCAGTGAAACACACTGAGGTCTTACCAGAGGGAGGGACTGGAGCCACCTTAGCTCCCTTGTCAGGCTGGCAGAAAATTCATCTGCAGGAATGTTGATGTTTCAAGTGGAGAGGAATTGTGCCTCTGCCTCTCATGCAATCCTGCACTTGGAAAGTGCTCCTCCTGTGGGGATGCAGTCACCCTGAAGTGTTTCAGAGAGGTTGTCTATAGGTATACCCATGCCAAGCTCCCATGGGAAAAGCCCCACCTGTGTCTGCAGTGGTGAATGAGGGGGAAAAGAAGTCATCTTCTCCAAGGCTATTCACAAGCACCAGGACTGCCTGACTGTTGGGGCAGAGCTGCAGACTTTCCTTGCTGAGCCCAGCATGGCAACTGTATTTCTCCTGAAAGAAACTTCCCACCAGTGGAAAGATCTGGGACTCAAGGCCTCCCGCCTGGGTTCTTTTGTGCCATGGGTGGTCCCTTGATGTGGTACACTCTCCCTTCCCCTAGAAACAGGTGTCCCTAAGGGCAAGAATACTGTGAATGCTGTTGTTCCTCTGGGTCTAGATGCCCAGTGTGGCTGCCATACTCTAGGCTGCTGCTTGGAATGCCTGCAAGGAATCCAGAGATATGGCCTGTCCTCAAGTCTCCCAGCAGTGGGTACCAGTACCAGCTCTGATGGGGGTGGCAGGAAAGTGACACAGACTGTGAGATTCCTTGGTTATGGATAGTCTTAATGTGTTGGCTTTCTGAAATGATGGTTGTAGTAGTAATGAAAAGGTTATGTGGACAGACTCAGGACCTCCTGGTTGGCCAGGGTAGTAGAGGCAATGGTGACAGGTAAGGTCATGCACAAGTTTTCTCCTTCCTGGGTGCAGTATTATTCTACCTGGAGATGATGTAATGGACTGTGTTAGTTGGCCTCCAGCCAGGAAATGATGTGTGCAAAAGAGCACCAGCTGCAGTAGTTAACAGTGGTATTTGTGTTGGTCTTATGTTACCCAGGGGCAGTGCTTTGGTTTCTCAGGAATGGGCAGGGCCATAAAGCTCCCAAAAGTTTCTGTCCTTTGTGTTAAACTACCAGGGTGGCTGGAGGGGTAAAGCCAGGTGGGGGCTGGGGTCAGGCAGGTCCCTGCTCTGACTCTCCACAAGTGGGGCAAGCAGCAGCCCCTGGGCAGGAGTTTGAGGGAGGTTTCTCTGGCACTGGGGTAATGTTCCAGAGAGGTGTATTAACTGTCTCTGCTGCACAGAGAATTGTATGTAGGGAGTGGGAAGTAACAGGTGATAGTAAACCCCACCCAGCTCACCCAGCTCCCCGCATACTTCGCAAGGCAGATCTCACACCCACAGTTTCCCAGTAGCAGCATCCAGCTAAGTTCTAGACCTTCTACTCAAAACTGCCCCAAGCCATATGCCTTCCCTGCGGGAAAACAGGAACCACAGGTTTCAGGCCACGCCCCTCCCAGTTGGCTCACACAGCTGGGGCACCCAGCTCCCTAGCTTGTGGCTACAGGACACTTGCCACTCACCCTCTGGTTCTGGCCTAGGAAATTCTTCCTCATTCGAGGTTATCATGAAATTCAGTTGGGAGGTTCTTTCAACCTGTGACTGCTTCCTGAGTTAGCTGGCGGACTTCCATGAGATACACTGTGAGGCAGAATAATGAATGGCTCCCCTTGGTCTACTCTGCAGACTGGGAAAGCACGCAAGGCTGCTCCCACTGCCGTTCCTACTTTTATATATGTCACCACTTCCTAAATCAGTTCCAGTGTTGAGTAGGATAAAGGTCTTCCCCTGTGGGTTGGATTGTCAGGTTCCCCTGTAGGGGTGTGTATCCTGGAGGCAGTCTCTTCCACTCTCACCCTCTGGGGACTTACAGTTTTTCACCTGGCTCACAGTATAGGCTGTAGCCTGCAGCTTCTTTCAAAGCTCATGGTTTATTTTCAACCTTTCCTATCAATGAACAATTTTAATAGCCTTGAAATAAAACTTCCTTTTCTTTTCTTTTTTTTTTTTTTTTGAGATGGAGTCTCGCTGTCACCCAGGCTGGAGTGCAGTGGTGCAATCTCCGCTCACTGCAAGCTCTGCCTCCCGGGTTCACACCATTCTCCTGCCTCAGCCTCCCGAGTAGCTGGGACTACAGGCACCCACCACCATGCCCAGCTAATTTTTTGTATTTTTTTTTTTTTTTTTTTAGTAGACACAGGGTTTCACCATATTAGCCACGATGGTCTTGATCTCCAGACCTCGTGATCCACCCGCCTCAGCCTCCCGAAGTGCTGGATTACAGGCATGAACGACCACACCCGGCCGAAATAAAACTTTCTAAAATCTTCACCAACTGCAACATATTATAGACATCTCAAAAAACATTAATTACTTCAGTAATTAATGGGTCCCTATTGTATGGCAAGGTTATATAAATCATACTTTCATCTATACATAAGTGAGAAACGTTTGCCTATAAGTATTGTTTTATCAGATTAAGAAATATCATAGCTACAATAAGAACATCAGTGGATGAAACAAGTTTAAACTACCCCTCTCTTCCACAATAAATGTATCATAATGCTTCTATGACGTATTTGGTTTTAAGAATATTCTCTCATGGGGTGGGTGGAGCTAAGATGGCTGAACAGGAACAGCTCCCAGCGTGAGCGACGCAGAAGACGGGTGATTTCTGCATTTCCATCTGAGGTATCGCGTTCATCTCACTAGAGAGTGCCAGACAGTGGGTGCAAGACAGTGGGTGCAACGCACCATGCACGAGCCGAAGCAGGGCGAGGCATTGCCTCACTCGGGAAGAGCAAGGGGTCAGGGAGTTCCCTTTCCTAGTCAAAGAAAGGGGTGACAGAAGGCACCTGGAAAATCGGGTAACTCCCACCCTAATACTGCACTTTTCCAATGGGCTTAAAAAAACGGCACACCAGGGGATTATATCCCGCACCTGGCTCGGAGGGTCCTATGCCCACAGAGTCTCGCTGATTGCTAGCACAGCAGTCTGAGATCAAACTGCAAGGCAGCAGCAAGGCTGGGGGAGGGGCGCCTGCCATTGCCCAGGCTTGATTAGGTAAACAAAGCAGCCCCGAAGCTCCAACTGGGTGGAGCCCACCACAGCTCAAGGAGGCCTGCCTGCCTCTGTAGGCTCCACCTCTGGGGGCAGGGCACAGACAAACAAAAAGACAGCAGTAACCTCTGCAGACTTAAAGGTCCCTGTCTGACAGCTTTGAAGAGAGTAGTGGTTCTTCCACTACGCAGCTGGAGATCTGAGAATGGGCAGACTGCCTCCTCAAGTGGGTCCGTGACCCCCGAGCAGCCTAACTGGGAGGCACCCCCCAGTAGGGGCACACTGACACCTTACACGGCCGGGTACTCCTCTGAGACAAAACTTCCAGAGGAACGATCAGGCAGCAGCATTTGCGGTTCACCAACATCCACTGTTCTACAGCCACCGCTGTTCTGCAGCCACCGCTGCTGATACCCAGGCAAACAGGGTCTGGAGTGGACCTCTAGCAAACTCCAACAGACCTGTAGCAGAGGGTCCTGTCTGTTAAAAGGAAAACTACCAAACAGAAAGGACATCCACACCAAAAACCCTTCTGTACATCACCAACATCAAAGACCAAAAGTAGATAAAGCCACAAAGATGGGAAAAAAACAAAGCAGAAACACTGGAAACCCTAAAAATCAGAGCGCCTCTCCTCCTCCAAAGGAACGCAGCTCCTCACCAGCAATGGAACAAAGCTGGAAGGAGAATGACTTTGACGTGTTGAGAGAAGAAGGCTTCAGAAGATCAAACTACTCTGAGCTAAAGGAGAAAGTTCGAACCAATGGCAAAGAAGTTAAAAACCTTGAAAAAAAAGTAGACGAATGGCTAACTAGAATAACCAATGCAGAGAAGTCCTTAAAGGAGCTGAGGTAGCTGAAAGCCAAGGCTCAAGAACTACGTGAAGAATGCAGAAGCCTCGGGAGCTGATGCGATCAACTGGAAGAAAGGGTACCAGTGATGGAAGACGAAATGAATGAACTGAAGCGAGAAGGGAAGTTTAGAGAAAAAAAGAATAAAAAGAAATGAACAAAGCCTCCAAGAAATATGGGACTATGTGAAAAGACCAAGTCTACGTCTGATTGGTGTACCTGAAAGTGATGGGGAGAATGGAACCAAGTTGGAAAACACTCTGCAGGATATTATCCAGGAGAACTTCCCCAATCTAGCAAGGCAGGCCAACATTCAGATTCAGGAAATACAGAGAACGCCACAAAGATGCTCCTCGAGAAGAGCAACTCCAACACACGTAATTGTCAGATTCACCAAAGTTGAAATGAAGGACAAAATGTTAAGGGCAGCCAGAGAGAAAGGTCGGGTTACCCACAAAGGGAAGCCCATCAGACTAACAGCGGATCTCTCGGCAGAAACTCTACAAGCCAGAAGAGAGTGGGGACCAATATTCAACATTCTTAAAGAAAAGAATTTTCAACCCAGAATTTTCATATCCAGCCAAACTAAGCTTCATAAGTGAAGGGGAAATAAAATCCTTTACAGACAAGCAAATGCTGAGAGATTTTGTCACCACCAGGCCTGCCCTAAAAGAGCTCCTGAAAGAAGCACTAAACATGGAAAGGAACAACCGGTACCAGCCACTGCAAAAACATGACAAAATGTAAAGACCATCAAGGCTAGGAAGAAACTGCATCAACTAACGAGCAAAATAACCAGCTAACATCATAATGACAAGACCAAATACACACATAACAATATTAACCTTAAATGTAAATGGGCTAAATGCTCCAATTAAAAGACACAGACTGACAAACTGGATAGAGTCAAGACCCATCAGTGTGCTGTATTCAGGAAACCCATCTCACGTGCAGAGACACACATAGGCTCAAAATAAAGGGATGGAGGAAGATCTACCAAGCAAATGGAAAACAAAAAAAGGCAGGGGTTGCAATCCTAGTCTCTGATAAAACAGACTTTAAACCAACAAAGATCAAAAGAGACAAAGAAGGCCATTACATAATGGTAAAGGGATCAATTCAACAAGAAGAGCTAACTATCCTAAATGTATATGCACCTAATACAGGACAACCCAGATTCATAAAGCAAGTCCTTAGTGACCTACAAAGAGACTTAGACTCCTACACAATAATAACGGGAGACTTTAACAACCCACTGTCAACATTAGACAGATCAACGAGACAGAAAGTTAAAAAGGATACCCAGGAATTGAACTCAGCTCTGCACCAAGCGGACCTAATAGACATCTACAGAACTCTCCACCCTAAATCAACAGAATATACATTCTTTTCAGCACCACACCACACCTATTCCAAAATTGACCACATAGCTGGAAGTAAAGCACTCCTCAGCAAATGTAAACAGAAATTATAACAAACTGTCTCTCAGACCACAGTGCAATCAAACTAGAACTCAGGATTAAGAAACTCACTCAAAACCGCTCCACTACATGGAAACTGAACAACCTGCTCCAGAATGACTACTGGGTACATAACGAAATGAAGGCAGAAATAAAGATGTTCTCTGAAACCAACGGAAACAAAGACACAACATACCAGTATCTCTGGCACACATTCAAAGCAGTGTGTAGAGGGAAATTTATAGCACTAAATGCCCACAAGAGAAAGCAGGAAAGATCCAAAATTGACACCCTAACGTCACAATTAAAAGAACTAGAAAAGCAAGAGCAAACACATTCAAAAGCTAGCAGAAGGCAAGAAATAACTAAAATCAGAGCAGAACTGAAGGAAATAGAGACACAAAATACCGTTCAAAAAATTAATGAATCCAGGAGCTGGTTTTTTGAAAAGATCAACAAAACTGATAGACTGCTAGCAAGACTAATAAAGAAGAAAAGAGAGAAGAATCAAATAGATGCAATAAAAAATGATAAAGGGGATATCACCACCGATCCCACAGAAATACAAACTACCATCACAGAATACTACAAACACCTCTACGCAAATAAACTAGACAATCTAGAAGAAATGGATAAATTCCTCGACACATACACCATCCCAAGACTAAAACAGGAAGAAGTTGAATCTCTGAATAGACCAATAACAGACTCTGAAATTGTGGCAATAATCAATAGCTTACCAACCAAAAAAAGTCCAGGAGCAGATGGATTCACAGCCAAATTCTACCAGACGTACAAGGAGGAGCTGGTACCATTCCTTCTGAAACTATTCCAATCAATAGAAAAAGAGGGAATCCTCCCTAACTCACTTTATGAGGCCAGCATCATCCTGATACCAAAGCCTGGCAGAGACACAACAAAAAAAGAGAGTTTTAGACCAATATCCTTGATGAACGCTGATGCAAAAATCCTCAATACAATACTGGCAAACCGAATCCAGCAGCACATCAAAAAGCTTATCTACCATGATCAAGTGGGCTTCATCCCTGGGATGCAAGGCTGGTTTAACATATGAAAATCAATAAATGTAATCCAGCATATAAACAGAACCAAAGACAAAAACCACACGATTATCTCAATAGATGCAGAAAAGGCCTTTGACAAAATTCAACAACACTTCATGCTAAAAACTCTCAATAAATTAGGTATTGATGGGACATATCTCAAAATAATAAGAGCTATCTATGACACATCCACAGCCAATATCATACAGAATGGGCAAAAACTGGAAGCATTCCCTTTGAAAGCTGGCACAAGACAGGGATGCCCTCTCTCACCACTCCTATTCAACATAGTGTTGGAAGTTCTGGCCAGGGCAATTAGGCAGGAGAAGGAAATAAAGGGTATTCAATTAGGAAAATAGGAAGCCAAATTGTCCCTGTTTGCAGATGACATGATTGTATATCTAGAAAACCCCACTGTCTCAGCCCAAAATCACCTTAAGCTGATAAGCAACTTCAGCAAAGTCTCAGGATACAAAATCAATGTGCAAAAATCACAAGCATCCTTATACACCAATAACAGACAAACAGAGAGCCAAATCATGAGTGAACTCCCATTCACAATTGCTTCAAAGAGAATAAAATACCTAGGAATCTAACTTACAAGGGATGTGAAGGACCTCTTCAAGGAGAACTACAAGCCACTGCTCAGTGAAATAAAAGAGGACACAAACAAATGGAAGAACATTCCATGCTCATGGGTAGGAAGAATCAATATCGTGAAAATGGCCATACTGCCCAAGGTAATTTATAGATTCAATGCCATCCCCATCAAGCTACCAATGACTTTCTTCACAGAATTGGAAAAAACTACTTTAAACTTCATATGGAACCAAAAAAGAGCCCACATTGCCAAGTCAATCCTAAGCCAAAAGAACAAAGCTGGAGGCATCATGCTACCTGACTTCAAACTATACTACAAGGCTACAGTAACCAAAGCAGCATGGTACTGGTACCAAAACAGAGGTATAGACCAATGGAACAGAACAGAGCCCTCAGAAATAATGCCGCATATCTACAACCATCTGATCTTTGACAAACCTGACAAAAACAAGCAATGGGGAAAGGATTCCCTATTTAATAAATGGTGCTGGGAAAACTGGCTAGCCATATGTAGAAAGCTGAAACTGGATCCCTTCCTTACACCTTATACAAAAATTAATTCAAGATGGATTAAAGACTTACATGTTAGACCTAAAACCATAAAAACCCTAGAAGAAAACCTAGGCAATACCATTCAGGATATAGGCATGGGCAAGGACTTCATGTCTAAAACACCAAAAGCAATGGCAACAAAAGACAAAATTGACAAATGGGATCTAATTAAACTAAAGAGCTTCTACACAGCAAAAGAAACTACCATCAGAGTGAACAGGCAACCTACAAAATGGGAGAAAATTTTTGCAACCTACTCATCTGACAAAGGGCTAATATCCAGAATCTACAATGAACTCAAACAAATTTACAAGAAAAAAACAGACAACCCCATCAAAAAGTGGGCAAAGGATATGAACAGACACTTCTCAAAAGAAGACATTTATGCAGCCAAAAGACACATGAAAAAATGCTCATCATCACTGGCCATCAGAGAAATGCAAATCAAAACCACAATGAGATACCATCTCACACCAGTTAGAATGGCGATCATTAAAAAGTCAGGAAACAACAGGTGCTGGAGAGGATGTGGAGAAATAGCAACACTTTTACACTGTTGGTGGGACTGTAAACTAGTTCCACCATTGTGCAAGTCAGTGTGGCGATTCCTCAGGGATCTAGAACTAGAAATACCATTTGACCCAGCCATCCCATTACTGGGTATATACCCAAAGGATTATAAATCACACTGCTATAAAGACACATGCACACGTATGTTTACTGTGGCACTATTCACAATAGCAAAGACTTGGAACCAACCCAAATGTCCAACAATGATAGACTGGATTAAGAAAATGTGGCACATATACACCATGGAATACTATGCAGCCATAAAAAATGAAGAGTTCATGTCCTTTGTAGGGACATGGATGAAGCTGGAAACCATCATTCTCAGCAAACTATTGCAAGGACAAAAAACCAAACACCATATCTTCTCACTGATAGGTGGGAACTGAACAATGAGAACACATGGACACAGGAAGGGGAACATCACACTCCGGGGACTGTTGTGGGGTGGGGGAAGAGGGGAGGGAAAGCATTAGGAGATATACCTAATGCTAAATGACGAGTTAATGGGTGCAGCACACCAACATGGCACATGTATACATATGTAACAAACCTGCACATTGTGCACATGTACCCTAAAACTTAAAGTATAATAATAATAAAATAAAATAAAATAAAAGAATATTCTCTCATGACACGTGGTGTTAATATATTGCAGCTAGGCAATAAAAATGTAAAACTCAGAAAATAGACCATAAGCGATTAAAATTAGTAGAGGAAATATTTTCTATCATATCCAATTGCTTGATTATACTTTTAAAAAATGATTCTTCAATAATGCAATAAAGCTTTAAAATAGAATATTAAGTTACTAACAACAGTCAACCCACAATCCTAACATAAAATACATTTTCTATATAAACATGGCCTATTTTACACACACACACACACACACACACACACACACACACACACATATTTTATATTTTGGTTTATTATGAGGTTATAGCTCAATCAGAAGTCATTTTCTCATTTTCACTTAATTATAATATACATTTAAACCTATTTTGTATAAAGTATTCTTAGAAAGTACAATAATAATGTGATTTTTTTAAAGGACACTGGGAGACCTACCAATAGCAGAAATCCCTTTTATGAAGCAATTAAATGCTGCCACAGAGTTTAAGAAAAGAGTATAGCATTGGTGGTTTACCAGCTCAGGCTTTAGAATCAGATTTTTACAGATACACCAGATGGGTGTCCTTAGGACCCACTGGAATATACATTCTACAAAGGGTAGGGGGTTTCTGTTTTGTTCAGTGTCTTGTGTTTTCAGTGTCTGGAATAGCACATAGCACACATAGTAGATATTCAATAAACAATGGCTGAATAAGTAAATGAATTTTTCCAAGTTTTATGATAAAAGAATGACCAAAGTTTTTTTTATTGTTACTTCATGCAAAGTGCAGATGAGCCAAAATAGGAAGACTAGGCAGAGACTGGTTTACCCCATGGATATTATCATCATCATCATCAATATATTGTTGTTGTCATTATCAGTTTTATGCTGAGTTTATAGATAAGGACAGATCTTACACTTCTCAAACACAGAAACTGCATTTTACTCACTCTGTAGGAGATTCTAACAAGCTACAGGGCTTATGTATATTGAAACCTAATTGTTTGATAAATAAATTAAACGAATTATAAATCATGATTTTCATAAACAGACTAAAGAGTATTCATTCATGAAGGTATGGTCTGGTTACTTTATGGGAAATTTTTCCTCCTTTAATCTCTATTTGTAGGATAAGTCAAAAATAGATTAGATAATACTAAATAGCTACCTAGAATTAATGTTATCATGAGACTCAATATGTGGGATATAGATATATTATTGATGAAAACTAAAAATCTTGCTAGATATATAAGCAGACTTCATAAAACGAAGAGATTGATTCAGCCAAGAACATTAAAAAAAAGATACAAAGTTTATCACGGTAACCTATACATTTCAACCATAAATATACTAACAATTCTGTTTTCACAAGTGGGATTAGTAGAGAATCGTTCTAACATTCGAGAGACTAAATGCATTAATATACAGAATTGGGAAAATTTCAGAAGGATGAGTTGTCATTATGGTGTATAAGAGATACAGTCATCCTCACCCTCCTGTGAATCCCATATTCCATTTCCCCTCAAAAGCAGAGTATCCATCGATGGGAGGTGGAGAGGAGAATGATGAATCCTTCCTGCCTCAATTGAGGACTTTAATGTAAAAGCTGGGCTGTCAAAGAAACTCCCTACAAATCATCCTTCTTTTACTCTTGTTGCTAGCCTCTTTTTCATTATCTTTTGATTTACTGTTAGTCAAATTAATGCCCTCTTTAGAACAAGTCAGGCAATAAAATATCTATAAACAATTATTAAATCAATTCTCAGTATAGCAAAATAAAGTTTCTAAGCCAGAAAGAGTAAGAAAGAGAACAGATCCTGGATTATGACAAATTTACCCAGGTAAATACTGTCTCTTGGCAGCCATGAATGTAGTTAAGTACATTACCTTACTCATGCTTAAATAACATCACCACTTTGTAGTAATGCCTATCTAAATTTTCATCTAGTCCCAAGACTCTTCTTAAAGAAAAATCATGAATCTATGTGATATAACTTAATCATTCAATCTACACTTTGTAGTTTTATTTTTTAAACTATTACATAATAACCTGCATTAAAAAGTACAATAAATATGTCTGCACTAAAATAATTCTGCTTATTCTCTGACAATAAGATAATAGTATACTTTTCATTTTCATTTCCCTAATGCCTAACGATGTTGAGCATGTTTACAGATGCGTATCTGTCATCATCTTGGGTGAAGTGTCTGTTCAACTCTTTTGCCTATTTTTTAAGTGGGTTGTTGGAGTTCCTATTAAGTTTTGAGTCTTTTGATATGTCTGGATGCAAGTCCTCTATCAAATATACTTTGCAAATATTTTCTCCTTGTCCACAGTTTGTCTTTTTATTCTCGTAACAGTATCATTTGAAGAGCTTCTTAAATTTTGATGAAATCTAATTTATCAACTTTATTCTCTTGTGAATTGTGCTTTGGGTAATATCTAAGAATCACTGTCTAATTCAAAGTCACAGAAATCTTCTATGTTTCTGGGAGAGACCTCCCAACAGGAGTTGACAGACACCTCATACAGGAGAGCTCCAGCTGGCATCAGGCCAGTGACCCTCTGGGACGAAGCTTCCAGAGGAAGGAGCAGGCAGCAATCTTTTCTGTTCTGCAGCCTCCACTGGTGATACCCAGGTGAACAGGGTCTGCAGTGGACCCCCAGCAAACTGCAGCAGACCTGCAGAAGAGGGGTCCGTTGGAAGAAAAACTAACAAACAGAAAGCAACAACAACAACAACAAAAAGACCCCCACACAAAAACCCCACCCAAAGGTCATCAGCCTCAAAGATCAAAGGTAGATAAATCCACAAAGATGAGGAAAAACCAGTGAAAAAATGCTGAAAATTCCAATAACCAGAATGCGTCTTCTCCTCCAAATGATCGCAACAGCTCTCCAGCAAGGGCGCAGAACTGGACGGAGGATGAGATGAACTAATTGACAGAAGTAGGCTTCAGAAGGTGGGTAATTACAAACTCTGCTGAGCTAAAGAAGCATGTTCTAACCCAATGCAAAGAAGCTAAGAACCTTGATAAAAGGTTACAGGAGCTGCTAACTAGAATAACCAGTTTAGAGGGGAACATTAATGACTTGATGCAGCTGAAAAACTTAGTGAAGCATACACAAGTATCAACAGCCGAATAGATCAAGTGGAAGAAAGGATATCAGAGTCTGAAGATCACCTTGCTGAAATAAGGCATACAGACAAGATTAGAGAAAAAAGAATGAAAAAAAAATGAACAAAATCTCGGAGAAATATGGAACTATGTAAAAATAAAGAACCTATGATTGATTGGAGTACCTGAAAGAGATGGGGTGAATGGAATCAAGTTGGAAAAGACTCTTCAGGATATTATCCAGGAGAACTTCCCCAGCCTAGCAAGACAGGCCAACATTCAAATTCAGGAAATACAGAGAACACCACTAAGATATTCCATGAGAAGATAAACCCCAAGACATATAATCATCAGATTCTTCACGGTTGAATTGAAGGAAAAAATGTTAAGAGCAGCCAGAGAAAAAGGTCAGGTCACCTAGAAAAGGGAAGCCCATCAGACTAACAGCGGATCTCTCAGCAGAAACTCTACAAGCCAGAAGAGAGTGGGGGCCAACATTCAACATTCCTTTTTTTTTTTTTTGTGATGGAGTCTCACTCTGTCGCCCAGGCTGCAGTGCAGTGGCGCAATCTCGGCTCACCACAACCTCTGCCTCCCAGGTTCAAGTGATTCTCCTGCCTCAGCCTCCTGAGTAGCTGGGATTACAGGTGTGCACCATCACGCCTGGCTAATTTTTCTATTTTCAGTAGAGAAGGGGTTTCACTATGTTGGTCAGGCTGGTCTCGAACTCCTGACCTCGAGATCTGCCCGCCTCGGCGTCCCAAAGTGCTGGGATTACAGGCATGAGTCACTGCGCCTGGCCTCAGCATTCTTAAAGAGAAGAATTTTCAACCCAGAATTTCATATCCAGCCAAACTAAGCTTCATGAACAAAGCAGAAATAAGAAAGGAAATCCTTTCTAGACAAGCAAATGCTAAGGGATTTCATCACCACCAGGCCTGCTTTGCAAGAGCTACTGAAGGAAGCACTAAATATGGAAAGGAAAAACCAGTACCAGCCACTGCAAAAGCATACCAAAATGAAAACACCAATGACACTATGAAGAAACTGCATCAACTAGTGTGCAAAATAACAAGTTAGCATCATGATGACAGGATCAAATTCACACATAACAATTTTAACCTTAAATGTAAATGGGCTAAATGTCCCAATTAAAAAGGTACAGACTGGCAAATTGAATAAAGAGTCAAGATCAACTGATGAGCTATATTCAGGAGACCCATCTCACGTGCAAAGATATACATAGGCTCAAAATAAGAGGATAGATGAAAATTTACCAAGCAAATGGGAAACAAAAAAAAGCAGGGGTTACAATCCTAGTCTCTAATAAAAGAGACTTTAAACCAACAAAGATCAAAAAAGACAAAGAAGGTCATTATATAATCATAAATGGATCAATTCAACAAGAAAAGCTAACTATCCTAAATATATATACACCCAAGAGAGGAGCACCAAGATTCATAAAACAAGTTCTTAGAGACCTACAAAGAGACTCAGACTCCCACACAGTAATAGTGGGAGACTTTAACACCCCACTGTCAACATTAGACAGATCAACGGGACAGAAAATTAACGAGGATATTCACGACTTGAACTCACTCTGGATCAAGTGGACCTAACAGCCATCTACAGAACTCTCCATTCTAAATCAACAGAATATACATTCTTCTCAGTGCCACAAGGCAGTTATTCTAAAATCAACCTCATAATTGGAAATAAACACTTGTCAGCAAATGCAAAAGAATGGAAATCATAACAAACAGTCCACAATGCAATCAAATTAGAACTCGGGATTAAGAAACTCACTCAAAACCAAATAACTACATGGAAATTGAACAACCGCTCCTAAATGACTCCTGGGTAAATAACAAAATTAAAGGAAGAAATCAAGAAGTTCTTTGAAACCAATTAGAACAAAGAGACAACATACCAGAATCTCTGGGACACATTTAAAGCAGTGTTTAGAGGGAAATTTATAGCACTAAATGCCCACAGGAGAAAGCAGGAAAGATCTAAAATCGACACCTTAACATCACAATTAAAAGAACTAGAGAAGCAAAAGCAAACAAACCCAAAAGCTAGCAGAAGACAAGAAATGACTAAGATCAGAGCAGAACTGAAGGAGACACAGACACGAAAAATCCTTCAAAAAATTAATGAATCCAGGAGCTGGTTTTTTGAAAAAATTAACAAAATAGAGCATTAGCTAGACTAATAAAGAAAAGAGAGAAGAATCAAGTAGACACAATAAAAAATGATAAAGGGGATATCACCACTGACCCCAAAGAAATACAAACTACCACCAAGAGAATACTATAAAAACCTCTACGCAAATGAACTAGAAAATCTAGAAGAAATGGAAAAATACTTGGACACATACACACTCCCAAGACTAAGCCAGGAAGAAGTCAAATCTCTGAATAGACTAATAACAAGTCCCAAAATTGAGGCACTAATTAATAGCCTACCAGCCAAAAAAGCCCAGGACCAGACGGATTCACAGCCGAATTCTGCCAGAGGTACAAAGAGGAGCTGGTACCACTCCTTCAGATGATATTCCAAACAACTGAAAAGGAGGGACTCCTCCCTAACTCATTTTATGAGGTCAGCATCACTCTGATACCAAAATCTGGCAGAGACACAACAAAAAAAGAAAACTTCAGGCGAATATCCCTGATGAACATCGATGTGAAAATCCTCAATAAAATACTGGCAAACCGAATCCAGCAGCACAGTAAAAAACTTATCCACCACGATCAACTCGGCTTCATCCACGGGATGCAAGGCTGGTTCAACATATGCAAATCAATAAACATAATCCATCACATAAACAGAACCAATGACAAAAAAACATAAGATTACCTCAACAGACACAGAAAAGGGCTCTGATAAAATTCAACACACCTTCATGTTAAAAACTCTCAATAAACTAGGTACTGATGGAACATATCTCAAAATAATGAGAGCTATTTATGACAAACCCATAGCCAATATCATACTAAATGGGCAAAAGCTGGAAGCATTCCCTTTGAAAACAGGCACAAGACAAGGATGCCCTCTCTCACCTCTCCTATTCAACATAGCATTGGAAGTTCTGGCCAGGGCAAGCAGGCAACAGAAAGAAATAAAGCGTATTCAAATAGGAAGAGAGGAAGTCAAATTGTCTGTTTCCAGATGACATAACTGTATATTTAGAAAACCCCATAGTCTCAGCCCAAAAACTCCTTAAATTGATAAGCAACTTCAGTGAAGTCTCAGGATACAAAATCAATGTGCAAAAATCACAAGCATTCCTATACACCAACAACAGGCAAGCAGAGAGCCCAATCATGAATGAACTCCCACTCACAACTGCTACAAAGAGAATAAAATATCTAGGAACACAGCTACTAAGGGAAGTGAAGGACCTCTTCAAGGAGAACTACAAACCACAGCTCAAGGCAATAAGAGAAGACACAAACTAATAAGAAAACATTCCATGCTCATGGATAGGAAGAATCAATACTGTGAAAATGGCCATACTATCCAAAGTAATTTATAGATTCAATGCTATTCCTATCAAACTACCATTAACATTCTTCACAGAGTTAGAAAAAACTACTTTAAATTTCATATGGAACCAAAAAAGAGCTCATATAGCCAAGACAATCCTAAGCAAAAGGAACAAAACTGGAGGCATCATGAGATCTGACTTCAAACTATACTACAAGGCTACAGTAACCAAAACAGCATGGTCCTGGTACCAAAAGAGATATGTAACTAATGAAACAGAACAGAGACCTCAGAAATAACACTACACATGTACAACCAGCTGATCTTCAACAAATTGGACAACAACAAGCAATGGGGAAAAGATTCCCTATTTAATAAATGGTGCTGGGAAAACTGGCTAGCCGTATGCAGAAAACTGAAACTGCACTCCTTCCTTATACCTTATTCAAAAATTAACTCAAGATAGATTAAAGACTTAAATGTAAAACCCAAAAGTATAAAAACGCTAGATGAAAACATAGACAAGACCATTCAGGGCATGGGCATGGGCAAAGATTTCATGATGAAAACGCCAAAAGCAAATGCAACAAAAACAAAAATTGATAAATGGTATCTAATTAAACTAAAGAGCTTCTGCACAGCAAAAGAAACTATCATCAGACTGAACAGGCAACCTACAGGATGGAAGAAAAATTTTGCAATCTACCCATCTGACAAATGTCTAATATCCAGCATCTACAAGGAACTTACACAAATTTACAAGGAAACAAACAAAAAATCACAAAGTGGGCAAAGGTTATGAATAGACTCTTCTCAAAAGACGACATTTATGCAGCCAACAAACATTTTAAAAAGCTTAACATCACTGATCATTACAGAAAGGCAAATCAAAACCATAATGAGATACCACCTCACGCCAATGGCAATTACTAAAAAGTCAAGAAACAATAGATGCTGATGAGGCTGTGGAGAAATAGGAATGCTTTTACACTGTTGGTGGGAATGTAAATTAGTTCAACAGTTGTGGAAGAAAGTGTGGCGATTCCTCAAGTATCTAGAACCAGAAATACCATTTGCCCCAGCAATCCCATTACTGGGATATACCCAAAGGAATATAAATCATTCTACTGTAAAGACACATGCACATGTATGTTTACTGCAGCACTACTTACAGTAGCAAAGACATGAAACCAACGCAAATGTCCATCAACGATAGATTGGATAAAGAAAATGTGCTACACACACCATGCAGCCATAAAAAAAAATGAAATCATGTCCTTGGCAGGGACATGGATGAAGCTGGAAGCCTTCATCCTCAGCAAACTAGCACAGGAATAGAAAACCAAACACTGCACATTCTCACTCGTAAATGGGAGTTGAACAACGAGAACACTTGGACACAGGGAGGGGAACAACACACACCAGGGACTGTCAGGGGGCAGGGGGCAGGGGAGAGAGAGCATTAGGATAAATAACTAATGCATATGAGGCTTAAAACCTAGGCCAGGCGCAGTGGCTCACGCCTGTAATCCCAGCACTTTGGGAGGCCGAGGCGGGCAGGTCACCTGAAGTCAGGAGTTCAAGATCAGCCTGACCAACATGGAGAAGCCCTGTCTCTACTAAAAATACAAAATTAGCCAGGCGTGGTGGTGAATGCCTGTAATCCCGGCTACTCAGGAGGCTGAGGCAAGAGAGTCGCTTGAACCCAGGAGGCGGAGGTTGCGGTGAGCGGAGATTGCGCCATTGCACTCCAGCCTGTGCAACGAGAGTGAAACTCCGTCTCAAAAAACAACAACAACAACAAAACCTAGATGACAGGTTGATAGATGCAGCAAACCACCATGGCGCATGTATAACTATGTAACAAACCTGCATGTTCTGCACATGTATCCCGGAACTTAAAGTAAAATTAAAAATTTAAGAAAAGAAGAAAAGAAAAAAATAAAAATAAAAATAAAAAAATCTTCTGAGTCTCCTACTTTAAGTTCTGTAGTTTTAGATTTTACATTTAGGACACGAATTCATTCTGAGTTAATATTTTTATATGAAATGAAGTATGGATACAAGTTCACTGTTTTGCATATTGAGATCCAATTGTTCCTGCACCATCTGTTGAAAAGACTATTTTTTTCTCTACTAAATGTGTCAAAAATCAGTTGTTCATATATATGTGGGTCTATTTCTGAGATCTCTGTTCCATTGATCTTTATGTCTTGATTACTTCAAGGAGTCTTTGTAATAAGTCTTCAAATCAGGTAGGGTTATTCCTCCAACTCTGTTTTCTCTTAAAAGTTATTCTAGCTATTCGAGATCCTCTGAATTTCTATATGAATTTTAAAATCAGCTTGTCAATTTCTAAAAGCCCCCCTGGAATTTAAACTGAAATTCTGTTGAATTCATAGATCAAGTTGGGAAGAACATACATCTTAATAAACAATATTAAGTCTTCCAACTGATGAACAACATTGACTGATTGATTGATTTAGGTCTTCTTTGTTCTCAACAATATTTTGTAGTTTTCAGTGTACAGGTTTTACACATCTTTTGTTAGACTTATCCTTAAGTCTGTCATATTTTTATGCTGTTATAAGTGGTATTTTTGAATTTCAATTTCCAATTGCTTGTTGCTAAGAGTATACAGAAATACAATTAATTTTTTGTATATTTATCTAGTATATTGAAACCTTACTCAACTCTTTTATTAACTACAGCTTTTTTTGAAAACTCAAAACAAGATACCACGACATACCTATTAGAATGACTAAAATTAAGACAGTGTAACATGTGTTGGCATGGTTGTAGGGGGAAGTAGAACTTTCAAATACTACTGGTAAGAATGTAAACATTGGCTGGGCGCGGTGGTTCACGCCTGTAATCCCAGCACTTTGGGAGGCCGAGAAGGGTGGATCACCTGAGGTCAGAAGTTCAAGACCAGCCTGGTCAACATGGTGAAACCCCGTCTCTACTAAATATACAAAAATTAGCCGGGCATGGTGGTGGGCGCCTGTAATTCCAGCTACTCAGGAGGCTGAGGCAGGAGAATTGCTTAAACCCGGGAGGCGGAGGTTGCCGTGAGGCGAGATTGCGCCATTGTGCTCTAGCCTGGGCAACAACAGCAAAACTTTGTCTCAAAAAGAAAAAAAAAAAAAGAATGTAAACATTACAACAACTTTGAAAAATAATCTTGGCAATTTTTTAAAAAGTTAAACATATACCTACCATATGATCTAGACATTCCAATCCTAGGTATTTATCCAAGAGAAATGAAAGGATATGTTCCTACAAAGACTTGTACATGAATGTTCATAGCAGCTTAATTTATAATATTAAAAAATTAGGAACAACCCAACTGTCCATCAGCATGTAAATGGATAAACCAGCTATGATCTATCAATGGAATACTAGTCCATAATAAAAAGGCAAAGGTATTAATACACACAACACTGACGAATTTCAAATTTACGTAACATAAAACTCTCCCTTTCAAAGTGTACAATGCAGTGGTTTTTAGTACACTGACAAGGTGGCACAAAAGTCACGACTATCTAATTCCAGAACATTTTCATCACCCTAAAAACAAATCTGTATCCACTAGTAGTCACTCCACATCCCAGTCTCATAGAATATACTTAATTTCCAGACAACAATGTATTTCATCTGGGTGTCCCAAATCAAGCCTCAAACCTTTCAAGTTTGAAACATTGCTTTTAAGTTAATTTCAAGGGTCTATGGTATAAACACTGTTACTCTTCATTATTTTATTCTTTCTAATGCTTTCTAATGAAAAACAGAACCACACTGATAAAGACACTGACAATTTTAGAGAAGTTCCAATCACAGAAGTGTCATTTAGTGTACATGTGTATAACTGTAATAGTGACTGCAAAATTATTACTTTTACTCAAATATTAATTCCAAATGTAGCAACTTATTTTTCCTTGGCTTCTCCTTATTATAAATGCCAGGACTGGTCAAGACTGAACTACAGTGGTGAATAAAAAAGACATGATGTCTTTGCAAATATTAAATCACACATCATCTGCAAGGCTTTTAAAAATTAGATTAACACAATCCACTTTGAGATCATTCCACCATGAACTATATCTTCTCAAAAACTTTTTAACAATCTTTATAAAAACTTTAGGTAAAGCCAACAGCACATTGGAAGGATAATGGTTTTACACTGCATTATACTAACTCAGAACATTATGATCAATACTTGTGCCTGTTTTTTTGTGGGGTTTTTTGTTTGTTTGTTTGTTTTGACAGAGTCTTGCTCTGTCACCAGGCTGGAGTGCAGTTGCAGATCTCGGCTCACTGCAACCTCCGCCTCCTGGGTTCAAGTGATTCTCCTACCTCAGCCTCCTGAGTAGCTGGAATTACAGGCACACACCACCACGCCCAGCTAATTTTTGTATTTTTAGTAGAGACGGGGTTTCACCATGTTGGCCAGGATGGTCTCGATCTCTTGACCTCATGATCCGCCCGCCTCAGCCTCCCAAAGTGCTGGGATTACAGGCGTGAGCCACCATGCCCGGCTGTGCCTGTTTTTGTTTTTTTTTTTCGAAGACATGACCATTTGTATTACAGAATCTGTCAATTATAGAAGAAATTATAATCATAATCCAATCAAAATTTAGCACTTTTTTAATATTGAAGGAAAGTCAGTGATGACAAACATCCATAATAAGCCTTGGAATAATATGCATCTATGTTTAATGATTCCATAATCCTACAAACTATTGTTGGTGCACAGATATTAAATGTGATAGAGCAAAACAGTGGCTGATACTTGGATTTTTACCCTTCTATGTTTAGATAATACTGTGAAAACAACACACAAGCATTATTCATTGTTTAAAGTTAACTTTTTTTTTTTTTTAAAGAGTCAAGATCTTGCTCTGTCACCCAGGGTGGAGAACAGTGGTGCAATAACAGCTCACTGCAGCCTCTAACTTGTGGGCTCGAGTGATCCTCCCATCTCAGTTTCCCAAGTAGTTGAGACTGCAGGCACATGCTATGATGCTCAACTTTTATTTTGTTTTAATTTCCTTTACTTCTCAATTTTTACTTTTTAGAGCCAAGAGGAGATCTGTTCTGTTCACCCAGGCTGGTCTCAAACTCCTGGCCTCAAGCAATTCTGCCTGCCTCCACCTCCCAAGTAACTGGGCCTCCAGGTACCAGCCACCACACCCAGCTTAAAAGTTCAACTTTTTATATGACATTTTCCAAGCCTACTAAATCACAAGTTAGAGATATTCCCAATGATTTTCCTAAGCAAAACCTATATTTCAGCAGTATACAATTGCAATGCTGTTGAAGCATTATTTGTGAAGGATTTCCTTGATTAACAAAAAATATGGAATAAGCATTACAGCATAGCATGACTATATAATCAAAAAATCAAAGACAGGAAAATTCAGAAAGAACATGTAATGTACATTTCTCTGATACTATTTTGGCATAACTGCTTTCAAAGCACAATAGCAAGAGTAAGCAGACTCTTGATATCTGAAATGGATATAATTAAAGACTTCTGAGCCTACAAAGTACAAATGCCACTACATATATCCACTTCAGAAAAATAAGTGGGTACCCAGTGAAAAGAAGAAAACCACCAAGCCACATTAAAAGTGTTGGGCAGTTCTATGTGCACTCACTAGCTATTCAAAATTTTGCCTGAAAAATTATGAACTGCTGCATCATGGACTTTGCAGCTGGTTAATAGTCAAAACCATGAACATTAAACTCTTGACTGTCAAGGTCCTGCAATAAATGTCTGAGAAAAGAATGAACAAAGAAATAAATTTTTAAAATCTTCTAGGCATAGTATCAGCATGGGATTTGTCATGTTAAAAACAGCATTTCTCTAGAATATTTCCTAGAGAAAAGAAAACTTCACATAAAGAACTGTACACCTATTCATAATCACCAAAAACTGGAAACAACAACAAATGTCCTTCAATCAGTGAATCAATAAACAAACTGCAGGCTACTCATACAATGGTATTCAATCAAACACAAAGTAACAAACTATTAGTACACCCCAAAACTTGAATAAATCTCAAAGGTATTATTTTGAGTACAAGAAGACAGCCTCAAAAGGTCACCTACTTTGTAATTCCATTTATGTGTCATTCTCAAAAAGACAAAACTACAATGATGGAGAAAAGATCAGTGGCTGTCAGGACTAGCAGAAGCGGGTAGGCATCACCGTGAAGGGATAATGAGGGAATCTGGAGGAGTGATGGAATTGTTCTGTATCATGACTGTAATGGTGCTTACATAAATCTGTATATGTATTAAAATTTACAGACCTGTATATGAAAAAGGACAATTTTACTATATAATTAAAATAAATAGCATTTCAGTGAAATCAACTACTTGTACTTACTCATTCTGAGAAGTGTTACAATATTGTATACAGCCAATTATTTAAAAATTTGTTTAATAGTACTTGCTAATGGTGATAACAAAAGTCAACCAATCAAGTGACTTAAAAATATTTAAATCTCTACTAACTTTTTATTTAAAAAAAAAAAAAAACTTACCAAGTTCATTGAGACTCTGAGCAGCTTTTGTTATCTCTCTACTTCCCCCTTGCAGTTGTCCTTGGAGTCTCTTACTGAGATTCAAGATACGAATAATCCTCCGAAGCAAATCACAGGCAACCTGTGCAAACATCACAATGTTAAGTTAGTTGATCCATGAAGTTTTATTACTATTAATAAATAGTAATAACAAGCACAGTGGGTTGATAGGTGCAGCAAACCACCATGGCACATGTTTACCTATGTAACAAACCTGCACATGTATCCCGGAACTTAAATTACAAAAAAAACACAGTGGCTCACATTGTGCTTAATATGTGAATCTACCCATTCTTTCCAGATGCTAAAGATTCACTCATGCTTTTTTTGTTTCCCACCAACCACAAACCTAAATAATCGCAAGTCTTAAAAAGCATCAAATGTCCTAGGGAACACACGGAAGTACTATATTTACATTTTACAATAAACTCCAATTCATCCCAAGTGGAGAGAACTTGGAATTGAGGCACTGTGAGACCCAAGGATTCTTTCAGTCCTAAACCAGCTTTCTTCTCTAGGCCAGTGGTTCTCAGTCTTGATTACAAATTCAAGTGGGTAGACTGAAAATGTTCCAATGCCCAGGCCACAGCCCTGACCAATTAAAACAGCATTTCTATGGGTTAGAACCAAGCATGAGTTATGTTTTCATGTTTTTAATATTCCCAGGTGGTACCAATGTGCAGCCAAAATTGACAATCACTATGCTAGGTTGCTCAGCTTCCTACTACTGCCTCCTGTTATTTTCAGTCCCAGCTTCTCTTTCCTATATCCTGCAGGAGTAGTCTTAAAACTTCTCTCAATTTCATTATTTTCCTAATCTTTTTTTTTTTTTTGAGAACAGGGTCTCGCTCAGTTGCCCAAACTGGAGTGCAGTGGCATGATCACACCTCACTGCAACCTCTACCTCCTGGGCTCAAGCGATCCTTCTGCCTCAGCCTCCCAAGTAGCTGGGACTACAGGCGTGTGCCACCATGCCTGGCTAATTGTATTTTTTGTGGAGATGAGGTTTTGCCATGTTGCCCAGGCTGCTCTCAAACTACTGGGCTCAGGTGAACCTCCCACATCAGACTCCCAAAGTGCTAGGATTACAGGTGTGAGCCACCATGCGTGGTGATTTTTAATCACTAATAAATTATAAAAGAGAAAGCACATAAACAACAAAACTATTTCACACACTTCCTATTCCTTTTCCCAGATCTAATACTAGGTCTTTAGCTATCAAAAGGCTGAGATAAGAAATAAAGGTTCATGTATTTTAGGACACTTTATTACAGAAGCTGGATTCACAGCAGTTGCATGAGGGAGAGTGTGGTAGAGGGTGACATACTGAATAACCAACATGTAGTGATCTTCAGCCTCAGTAGTGATTACAAAGGAAAGAGAGACATTCCATACTGCTGCATCACAACCATTTTTGAATGGCCCCAAGGCTAACTGAGAAGCAAGGACATCTCCCCTGTTTAAGGAGAAAAATTCTACATGGTGGCAATAAGAATTAAAAGCTCTGAGAAGCCAGGGTCCCTGAACCTCCAGGTATAAACATTCTTTTATGGGTGAAATAAATACATACACCAGAGCCACACACAGCCACACCCATGCACTCACAAGCAATACACCGTATGTATGCATACACCATACTCAAACATAAAACAAACATATATTTACAAACACATGTAAGTCAAAGCCAATCAAGTATTAAACATGTTTACCTGACTGCTTTTCAGAGAAACTAATCTGAAATACTTAAATAAAAAAAAAAAAAAAGGAATGCCAAAGGAAAATTTTTCCCATGGAAATTGACAATTGGGGCATCTTTATCTTTTAATTAAATATTATCCGTTTTCTGAATAGATAATACAAGCACATGATTCAAAATTCAAGAAATAAAAAGAAATAACATTGAAAAGTCACCCTCGTATCTCTGTCCCAACTATGCACTTAACAAAAACAATCACTGTTATTGTTGCAGGTAGTTAGACAGTCAAGAGTGGGGCAGGAGAGGGCTACTGCCCCACCCACTAGGAACGTCGGTTGATGATTTGGAAGTTATCACATTGCCTCTCTAAAACTGATAAATTGGCAGCCAGTGCCAGGGAGAGGACATTTCCTGATGGTCCACGCCTGGTGCATTAAAGTGTTAATTGAATGCAAATGCCAGGGAGAAGCAACTTCCAGGGCATGTGCTTTAAGACACAAAATGGTGGAGTATGACCTTCCGGGGGCACTCCACCTGAAAAAGGAAGAAAGCCTCAGGTGGGCATGCATAGAAATTCCTAAACACACTGCCTGTGCTCACCTCTTAAGGGTAAGGAGGGCACTGGACATGTGGGCAGCCCACCCTAAGGGAAGAATCTTGGGAAAGGAGCCAGGCTATAAAGTCCTCGGATCAAGGTTAAACACTGCACCTGACCTCAGTGCCCACGTGGGACTCTTCCAAGCGTACTTTCCTTTCTTTCTTTCCTGTTCTAAAGCCTTTTTAAATAAACTTCCACTCCTGCTCTGAAATGTACCTTGGTCTCTTTTTCTGCCTTATGCCCCTCAGTCGAATTCTTTCTTCTGAGGAGGCAAGAATTGAGGTTGCTGCAGACCTGTACGGATTCGACACCAGTAACTTGGATATCTTGCACTGGAAACATTATCAGCACCTTCCCTGTTAGAACTGACATTTTTAGATAAACAATTTGGAACGTAAAATCTCATTCCTCTGAGATTTTAAATACATCGTAAGAAGAAATTAAGCTCTTACTCTAAGACTGTCATCCAGAATTCCCTAATCCTACCCAACAAAGGGTATGCTCTCAAAACATGCAATCTTTATTTCTACTGTTTTTATTTTTAGCAACCATACTTAATCTGTCACCAAGTCTTACCAACTATCCTACTGCATAAAACAAAAGTTGTTATTTTACCTCTATTCCTACAAGCATCACCCTAATCCACATCTTTATCACCATTACCTTTACATAGTGGTTTCTCGGCTAGCTTTCAAGTCTCTCATTGAAATCCACCCAGCCAGATTTATCTTCTTAAAAATGCAGTTTTTGGGCCGGACGCAGTGGCTTATGCCTGTAATCCCATCACTTTGGGAGGCCAAGGCGGGCGGATCACCTTAGGTCGAGAGTTCGAGACCAGCCTGACCAACATGGAGAAACCCCATTTCTACTAAAAATACAAAATTAGCTGGGTGTGGTGGCATATGCCTGTAATCCCAACTACTTGGGAGGCTGAGGCAGAAGAATCGCTTGAACCCGGGAGGCGGAGGTTGCGATGAGCCGAGATTGTGATATTGCACTCCAGCCTGGGCAACAAGAGCGAAACTCCATCTCAAAAAAAAAAAAAAAAAAAAAAAAACACAGTTTTCAGCACTCCAACCCCCTTTTTAGTAAACTTTAATGGCTCTCTACTTACAGATTATGTTGAATCTTCTGGGAATACCATTTAATAAAATCCTTAGTTAATAAGTCTAAGCTATTATAAGTTGATCTATAAGGCATCAGTTCTCACCATTTCCCAATATAGCTGCCTCCCCTCCAATCAATTTCCTTTCCCTCCCTGTTTTTTTATCTTAGACTTTTACTATTAAATATAACACAAGCATGGAAAACCACACTCAGAGATACACAGCTAAAGGAACTTAGAAGCAACACACAGATCAGGAGACAGGATCATGTGAGCCACCACAGAAGCCCTCATTTACTCCCTCCCAATGCCATTACCCTTCATGCCAACCAAGAGAAACCACTACTCTTTTACATTAATCACTTCCTTACTTTTTTTTTTTATTACTGAAGTACAAATACCTAAGTGCTATGGTTTAATTTTTCTTGTTTTTAATCTGTTCTCTCACCTTCTCTTTTTTTCATTGCAATTTGTTGAATATATTGGATCATCTGTCCTAAAGTTTCCCACAGACTGGGTTTTGTTGACTGTATTCCCTTGATGCAGTTTAACAAGTTCCTCTATCTTCTATATTACCTGTAAATTAGTAGTTGGATGCGGGCAGCTTCATCAGATTTAAGTTTAGTATTTTTGGCAAGATTAAACATTAGAGGGTGGTATATTTTAAGAGATGTATGATTTTCTCTCTTTTTGTGTTGAGTATCAGCCACTGATATTCAATGTCAAAATCCACTGAAACATAAGTGACTGCAAAATAGTAATAATCCAATTCTGTCATTTTGTATTTATAAGCATATGAAATTTCTCTATAAAAATAAACTTTACCTCATTGACTATTTGTTTACCTAGGAGTATTGTTCATACTGAAAACTAAAAATAAATACTTAATCTTTCCCTTATTAGTTTTCAAAATGAAGAAATAATTTCCTAATATTCACCAATAATGAAAAATTAGTCGGTGAGGGCGGGGGGGAGGTGGGTGTTCTGGGGTTTTGCTTTTTTTTTTTTTTGATATCATTATGAAATTGATTTAAACATAATAAGGGATGCCCAACCCATCATGGCTCTTATCCTTATTGATGCTCAAAGTGTTCCATTTCGGCCAGCAGAAGCCTCTGAGAGTGATTAACTGTACCACTTTGCCTGAGACTGAGAAGTTTCCCAAGTTTTAGGACTTTCAGTAGTAAAACTAAAATAGCTGGTCACCCAAAGCCTATTCAAGTCAGTTCCTGAGTTCCTTTGTCATGAACCGAGCAGTCGTTGATAGCCTCCTTGGTATCTGGTATAAAAATGTTCCAGGATCATTTTATACATTTCATGCCCCAGACCTGGAATCAAAGATTTCTCAAAGAAGCCCTGGTTTCTTTTAGTAGAAAACAGCATTACTTTTTTTCTTTTTTTGAGACGGTTTCGCTTTTGTCGCCCAGGCTAGAGTACAATGGCACAACCTTGGCTTACTGCAACCTCCCCCTCCAGGGTTCAAGCGATTCTCCTGCCTCAGCCACCTGAGTAGCTGGGATTACATGTGTCTGCCACCATGCCTGACTAATTTTAGTATTTTTAGTAGAGATGGGGTTTCACCATGTTGGCCAGGCTGATCTCGAACTCCTGACCTCATGTGATCCACCTGCCTTGGCCTCCCAAAGTGCTGGGATTATAGGAATGGACCACTGCACCCAGGCAGAAAACAGCATTTCAAGACCACATTCACAGAACTAGGTTTGTTCATTTCTGGGACTTTTCCATAGACATAGCAAGGAAATGCCAGCATTAAAATATCACATAAATATTCATTTGATTTATGCCACAATACACATAAAACATTCTCAGATTAACATACATATACATATGCACAAATATATATATACACACAAATATAAGGTATATACTATTTTTAAATGACATTAAAGAATCTCAAGTTCATACTGATACTTCTAATTAAAAATCAGAAGTAGAGGATTTAGCCTTCTTACATCTATATAAATATAAACAGTATATAATTTCTTCCACATTAAGATTCCTAGCTCTCAAGGACACAGGAGATAACAAAATTAGAATAATGTATAATTATTCATTTGCTCTGCTGCACAATACACAGAAAATACCTGAGCAACAAAACAAACACTACAGTCAAAAGTATGATGGCAGAAAATAGTTTTTAAAATTTTTTGCATATGCTCTTCCCACTGTTTTTTACAGCTGAATTATATTTCTTTGCCAAAACATATAGTCATTACACACTATTCTTTATAACTTTCATTTAATACTAGTTCTCATGCTTAACACTAGTCTCACGGTGATTTTTTTCTAGTCAGTCTTTGCTGTTCTGCAGCCTCCACTGGTGATACTCAAGGACACAGGGTCTGGAGTGGACCCGCAGCAAACTCCAGCAGACCTGCAGCAGAGGGGCCTGACTGTTAGAAGAAAAACTAATAAACTGAAAGCAATAGCATCAACACCAACATCATGCAAAAACTCCATCCAAAGGTCACCAACAGCAAAGACCAAAAGGTAGATAAATCCACGAAGATGAGGAAAAACCAGCACAAAAAGGCTGAAAATGCCAAAAACCAGAATACCTCTTCTCCTCCAAAGGATCACAACGCCTCACCAGCAAGGGAACAAAAGTGGATGGGGAATCAGTTTGACAAATTGACAGAAGGAGACTTCAGAAGGCGGGTAATAACAAACTCCTCCAAGCTACAGGAGCATGTTCTAACCCAATGCAAGGAAGCTAAGAGCTTTGAAAAAAAGGTTAGAGGAATTGCTAACTAGAATAACCAGTTTAAAGAACATAAATGACCTGATTGAGCTGAAAAACAGCAGGAGAACTTCGTGAAGCATACACAAGTATCAATAGCCGAATAGATCAAGTGGAAGAAAGGATATCAGAGACTGACGATCAACTTAATGAAATAAAGCATGAAGAAAAGATCAGAGAAAAAAGAATGAAAAAGAACAAACAAAGCCTCCAAGAAATACAGGACTATGTGAAAAGACCAAACCTACATTTGATTGCTGTACCCGAAAGCGATGGGGAGAATGGAACCAAGTTGGAAAACACACTTCAAGATATTATCCAGGAGAACTTCCCTAACCTAGCAAGACAGGCCAACATTCAAATTCAGGAAATACAGAGAAGACCACTAAGATACTCCTCAAGAAGAACAACCCCAAGACAGATAATCATCAGATTCACCAAGGTTGAAATGAAAGAAAAAATGTTAAGAGCAGCCCAAGAGAAAGGTCAGGTTACCCACAAAGGGAAGCCCATCAGACTAACAGCAGATCTCTCTGTAGAAACCCTACAAGCCAGAAGAGAGTAGCAGCCAATACTTAACATTCTTAAAGAAAAGAATTTTCAACCCAGAATTTCATATCCAGCCAAACTAAGCATCATAAGCAAAGTAGAAATAAAATCCTTTACAGACAAGCAGATGCTGAGAGATTTTATCACCACCAGGCTTGCCTTACAAGAGCTCCTGAAGGAAGCACTAAATATCAAAAGGAAAAACTGGTACCAGCCACTGCAAAAACAAACCAAAAGTTAAAGACCATCAACACTATGAAGAATCTGCATCAACTAATGAGCAAAATAACAAGCTAGCATCATAATGACAGGATAAAATTCACACATAACAATATTAATCCTAAATTTAAATGGGTTAAATGCTCCAATTAAAAGGCACAGACTGGCAAATTGGATAGAGTTAAGACCCATTCATGTGATGAATTCAGGAGATCCATCTCATGTGTAAAGACACATATAGGCTGAAAATAAAGGGATGGGTGAATATTTACCAAGCAAATGGAAAGCAAAAAAAAAAAAAGTGGGGGTTGCAATCCTAGTCTCTGACTGTTTAGACTTTAAACCAACAAAGATCAAAAAAGACAAAGAAGCCCATTACATAATGGTAAAGGGATCAATGCAACAAGAAGAGCTAACTATCCTAAATATATATGCACGCAATACAGGACCACCCAGATTCATAACCAAGTTCTTAGAGATCTACAAAGAGATTTAGACTCCCAGACAGTAACAGTGGGAGACATTAACACCCCAATGTCAATATTAGTCAGATCAACGAAACAGAAAATTAACAAGGATATTCAGGACTTGAACTCAGCTCTGGACCAAGCAGACCTAATAGACATCTACAGAACTCTCCACCCCAAATCAACAGAATATACATTCTTCTCAGTACCACACAGCACTTATTCTAAAATTGGCCACATAATTGGAAGTAAAACACCCCTCAGGAAATGTAAAAGAATGGAAATCATAACCAACAGTCTCTCAGACCACAGTGCAACCAAACTAAAACTCAGGATTAAGAAATTCTCTCAAAACCGCACAACTATATAGAAACTGAACAACCTGATCCTGAATGACTACTGGGCAAATAACAAAATTAAGGCAGAAATAAATCAGTTCTTTGAAACCAATGAGAACAAAGACACAACATACCAGAATCTCTGGGACACAGCTAAATCAGTGTTTAGAGGGAAATTTATAGCACTAAATGCCCACAGGAGAAAGTGGGAAAGATCTAAAATTGACACCCTAACATCACAATTAAAAGAACTAGAGAAGCAAGAGCAAACAAATGCAAAATCTAGCAGAAGACAAGAAATAACTAAGAGCAGAACTGAAGGAGATAGAGACATGAAAAACCCTTCAAAAAAAATCAATGAATCCAGGAGCTAGTTTTTTGAAAAGACTAACAAAATAAACCACTAGCCAGACTAACACAGAAGAAAAGAGAAGAATCAAATAGACACAATCAAAAATGATAAAGGGGATATCACCACTGATCCCACAGAAATACAAACTACCATCACAGAATACCATAAACACCTCTATGCAAATAAACCAGAAAATCCAGAAGAAATGGATACATTCCTGGACATATACACCCTCCCAAGACTAAACCAGATAGAAGTTGAATCCCTGAATAGACCAATAACAAGTTCTGAAATTGAAGCACTAATAGCCTACTAACCAAAAATAGCCCAGGACCAGACAGATCAACAGCTGAATTCTACTAGAGGTGTTGCAAAGAGGAGCTGGTACCATTCCTTCTAAAACTATTCTAAACAATAGAAAAAGAGAGACTCCTCCCTAACTCATTTTATGAGGTCAGCATCACTCTGATACCAAAATCTGGCAGAGACACAACATAAAAAATTTCAGGCCAATATCCCTGATGAACATCAATGTGAAAATCCTCAATAAAATACTGGCAAACTGAATCCAGCAGCACATTAAAAAGCCTATCCACCATGATCAACTCGGCTTAATCCCTGGGATGCAAGGCTGGTTCAACATATGCAAATCAATAAACATAATCCATCACATAAACAGAACCAATGACAAAAACCACATGATTATCTCAACAGATGCAGAAAAGGCCACAAAATTCAACAGCCCTTCATGCTAAAAACACTCAATAAACTAGGTATTGATGGAACATATCTCAAAATAATGAGAGCTATTTATGGTAAACCCATAGCATTCCCTTTGAAAACTGGCACAAGTCAAGGATGCCCCTTCTCACCACTCCTATTCAACATATTATTGGAAGTTCTGGCCAGGGCAATCAGGCAAGAGAAAGAAATAAAGGGTATTCAAATAGGAAGAGAGGAAATCAAATTATTTCCGTTTGCAGATGACATGATTGTATATATAGAAAACTCCATCGTCTCAGCCCAAAAACTCCTTAAGCTGATAAGCAACTTCAGTGAAGTCTCAGGATACAAAATCAATGTGCAAAAATCACAAGCATTCCTATACACCAATAATAGAGAGCCAAATCATGAGCAATCTCCCATTCACAATTTCTACAAAGAGAATAAAATACCTAGGAATACAACTTACAAGAGATGTGAAGGACCTCTTCAAGGAGAACTACAAACCACTCCTCAAGAAAATAAGATAGGACACGAACAAATGGAAAAACATTCCATGCTCATGGATAGGAAGAATCAATATCATGAAAATGGCCATTCTGCCCAAAATAATTTATAGATTCAATACTATTCCCATCAAGCTACCATTGACATTCTTCACAGAATTAGAAAAAACTACTTTAAATTTCATATGGAACCAAAAAAGAGCCCATATAGCCAAGGCAATCCTAAGCAAAAAGAACAAAGCTAGAGGCATCACACTGCCTGACTTCAAACTATACTGCAAGGCTACAGTAACCAAAACAGCATGGTACTGATACCAAAACAGATACATAGACCAATGGAATAGAAATATAGATCAATGGAACAGGCCTCAGAAATAACACCACATATCTACAACCATCTGATCTTTGACAAACCAGACAAAAACAAGCAATGGGGAAAGGATTCCCTATTTAATAAATGGTGCTGGGAAAACTGGCTAGCTGTATGCAGAAAACTGAAACTGGAGCCCTTCCTTATACACTTTACACTGTTGGTGGGAGTGTAAATTAGTTCAGCCATTGTGAGGCTATTTCTCAAGAATCTAGAACAAGAAATACCATTTGACCAGCAATCCCATTACAGGGTATATACCCAAAGGATTATAAATCATTCTATACCCAAAGGATTATAAATCATTCTACTATAAAGATACACACACACGTATGTTTACTGCAACACTGTTCACAATGGCAAAGACTTGGAACCAACCCAGATGTCCATCAACGTTAGACTGGATAAAGAAAATGTGGCACATATACACCACGGAATACTATGCAGCCATAAAAAAGAATGAGCTCATGTCCTTTGCAGGGACAAAGATGAAGCTGGAAACCATCATTCTCAGCAAACTAACACAGGAAGAGAAAACCAAACGCTGCATATTCTCACTCATCAGTGGGAGCTGAACAATGAATACATGGACACAGGGAGGGGAATATCACACACCAGGGCCTGTCAGGGGGTGGGGCCAAGGGGGAGGGATAGCATTAGAAGAAATATCTAATGTAGATAATGGGTTGATGGGTGCAGCAAACCACCATGGCACATGTATACCTATGTAACAAACCTGCACATTCTGCAAATGTATCCCAGAACTTAAAGTATAATTTAAAAAAAAAAGAAAGAAAAAAAAAAGAGCAAAGGATTATTTGAATAGACATGTCTCCAAGGAAGATACATAAATGGCCAAAAGGCACCACAGAAGATGCTCAATATCATTAGCCATTAGGAAAATGCAAATCAAAATGACAATGAGATACTACTTCATACCCAATAATGATACAGGAGATAGAAATTATTTAGGCAGACAATAAGGGCAACAGAGTCCTTGGCAGAATTTCCCTTTTAACAAAAAGCAGCTCCCAAATCATTTCTTTTCTGACAAAGAGCAGCCTGAAAAATCGAGCTACAGACATAGATAAGCAAGCTGGAAATTGAACAGGTGAATGCCAGCAGCTGTGTCAATAGAAAAGGGCTACCTGGAAGCCAGGTATGTTCAACATGGAGGCTCCATCTTTGCTTTTCTTTGTAACCACATGTACAGTAAAGAAGCAGGCAACACAGCACCAGCCAGCCAGAGAATTCATCTGCATAATAAAAGATTAGGGCAGGGCGGCCAGCTTTTTCACATGCTATGCAAGTGGCACACCTAGCCCTAACTAGTTTTTTGCACCTTAGGCAAATAGCACACCTGGTCTGACCAATCTTTCATGCCCTATGTAAATTAGACACTGCCTCCTCAAGCTCATCTATAAAACTCAACTGCATTTCACAATAAAAGCAGCAACCCAGTTCTCCAGGACCCCTCTCTGCAGCAGAGAGAGCTCTTCTCTTTCTTTCGCCTATTAAACTTCCACTCTGAACATCACTATTTGTGTGTCTGCGTCCTAGTTTTGTGTGGCTGTAAGACAACAAAACTCAGCTATTTACTCAAGACAACGATGCCACTTCAATAAGATGGCAGTATTAAAAAAAAGTACAGAAATTAGAATCTTCATACATTGTTGGTAATAATGGAAAACAGTCCAGTTGCCTTGGAAATAGTTTGGCATTCCTCAAAATGTTAAACATAGAGTTAGCATATGACCTAGCATAATATGCTCTCAGGTATATACCCAAGAATTGAAAAAAAAAAAAGCACACACAAATATTATTTATGCAACGTTTGTTCTTAGCAGTCTACTCAAAATAGTTAAAAAGTAGAAACAACCTAAATATTCATCAACTGATGAAAGGATAAACAAATTGAATGGATAAACAAAATGTGATATATTCATAAAATGATATATTATTTGACCATATAAGTAAAGAAGTACCTAAGTCCTCATTAAACATCATCAACTGGTTCTTTTGACTTTAAGTGAAAACAATGGACCAGGCGGCTCACTCCTGTAATCCCAGCACTTTGGGAGGCTGAGGAAGATGGATCACTTGAGTCCAGAAGTTTGAGACAAGCCTGGGCAACATAGTGAGAGACACTGTCTAAAAAAAATTAAAATTTAAAAAAAAATTAGCTGGGCATGGTGGTGCGTGCCTGTTGTCTCAGCTACTCAAGAGGCTGCACTCCAGCCTGGATGACAGAGCAAGACCCTGTCTCAAAAAACAACAACAACAAAGCAACGTATAATGAAACCCAGTTTTTTCCTCCTCAGTGTTATAATGAAATGACATGTTATTCAAGGACCTGCTGTATGTTCTTTTACTTAAAGTTGCAGTTTCCAAGAACCTATCAATGACATTAAATAAGAACTTACTGTACTGACATATGCTACAATATGGATGAACCTTGAAAACATTACATTAAGAAGGCAAATACTACATAATGAATGATCAATTTCCATGAAATGTCCTGAATAGGGAAATCCAAAAAGGAAGACTGCAGATTAGTGCAGATTAGTTGAGAGCTTGGCGTAGAGAAGTGGATAGAGGGAGTAACTGCTAATGGGCATAGAGTTTCTTTTTTGGGTAATGAAAATATTCTGGCATTAGATAATATTATAGTATAATTAGATATTGTATTCACAAGATGCAATCTTGTGAATATAGTAAAAACCCCTAAACTGTACATGTTAAAGTGATTATTTTATGGTATGTAACTTATAACTCAATTTTTAATAATGAGTGTGACTTCTAACAATGATGGAATAGGGTCAGACTTACTTTTCCATTTTAAACAACTAGAAAATTGAACAAAATACACGAAATAATTTTAGAACAACAGGAATGAATAATTGGACAATAATTGGATAACAGAAAACACAGGTCTGTGATCTTTGAGAGAAACAAGAAAATGAGCTTAACAATTGTCTCAGATTACCACTGGGAGACAATTTTCAGGCCACAGCAAAGGGAAGGCAAGGGAAACAGAGCATGACAGTCTCTCTGAAGTTGGGAAGTAGAGATTACATTTCAAGAAAGCCAAAAAAGCTAGTGTTTATGGGCAGAGAATTGGAGAAAAGCTGCAAAAACAGAGGTTGTGCAGATAAGCAGAAAAATAGCTTCCAGTCTTCTGAGTACCAATCTGTGCATGTGTGAGAGGAAGCACAGGAAAAGAAACACTGAAACAACAGTAGAAAGACCTAATAGTAAACAGGGCTAAACTAGCCCTAGGCTAAAGGCTGTTCTGGACCTGTACTAACAAAGATTTAAAACTAAATCTCAAAAAGATTAATGGTGGCTCATGCCTGCAATCCCAGCATTTTGGGAGGCCAGGTAGGAGTATCACTTGAGGCCAGGAGTTTGAAATCAGCCTAGGCAACATGGTGAGACTCCCATCTCTACAATAAAAAAAAAAAAAAAATTAGCTGGGCATGGTAGTGTGTGCCTTTAGTCCCAGCTACTTGGGAGGCTGGGGCAGGAGGATTGCTTGAGCCCAGCACTTAGAGGTTACAGTGGGTCAAGACTGCCCCACTATACTCCAGCCCAAGTGACAGGGCAAGGCCCTGTCTCAAAAAATAAATAAATAAATAAAAATTAAAATTAAATAAAAAAAAAAAGATCAAACTGATTCCAAGTAACTTAAGTGTGAACCAGAAAAAAGTCCAACATTATTTAAAAGAAATTTTAAATAATCTAGGAACCCTAAACATAAAATACACATTTCTAATATCCAATAAAAAATTACCAGGTATGTAAAGAAGCAAAACACATAAAACCCATAACAAGAAACAAGAAGAAAAGTCAATCAACAAAAACAAACCTAGAAATAATAAAGAATTAAATGTTAAAATATATTTTATAGGCCGGGCACGGTGGCTCATGCCTATAATCCCAGCACTTTGGGAGGCTGAGGCAGGCGGATCACCTGAGGTCAAGAGTTCAAGACCAGCCTGGCCAATATGGTAAAACCCCATCTCTACTCAAAATACAAAAATTAGCCAGGTGTTGTGGCACATGCCTGTAATCCCAGCTACTCAGGAGGTTTAGGCAGGAGAATCACTTGAACCCAGGAGGCGGAGGTTGCAGTGAGCCAAGATCCTGCCACTGCACCCCAGCCTGGGCAACAGAGCGGGACTCTGTCTTGAAAAAAAAAAAAAAATTTATAAACATGTATATGTTCAAGAAGGTAAATGAAAACATGAATGTCAGCCGGACACAGTGGCTCATACTTGTAATTCCAGCACTTTGGGAGGCCAATACAGGTGGAATGCTTGACCTCAGGAGTTCGAGACCAACCTGAGCAGCAGGACAGAACCCGGTCTCTACAAAAAATACAAAAATTGGCTGGGTGTGGTGGTGCATGCCCATAGTCTCAGCTACTCAGGAGGCTGAGATGGGAGGATAGCTTGGGCCTGGGAGGAAGAGATTGCAGTGGGTTGAGATCGTGCCACTGCACTCCAGCCTGGGCAACAGAGTGAGACCCTGTCTCAAAAAAAAAAAAAAAAAAAAAAAAAAAATATATATATATATATATATGTATTTATGCGTGTGTGTATTTATATAAATGAAATTGAAATATAAATGTCATAACAGAAAGAGAAGATATAAAAAGACACAAATATAAACTAGAGATGAAAACTATAGGCCGGGGATGGTGGCTCACACCTGTAATCCCAGCACTTTGGGAGGCTGAGGCGTGCGGATCACGAGGTCAGAAGTTCGAGACCAGCCTGGCCAATATGTTGAAACCCTGTCTCTACTAAAAATACAAAAATTAGCTGGGCATGGTGGCAGGCACCTGTACTCCCAGCTACTCAGGAGGCTGAGGCAGAAGAATTGCTTGAAGCCAGGAGGCGCGGTTGCAGTGAGCCGAGATGGTGCCACTGCACTCCAGCCTGGGCAACAGAGTGAGACTCCATCTCAAAAAAGAAAAAAAAAAAAAAACTATAAAAACACACAGGATGGGATTAACAGCAGATTACATACTTAATTAAAAAGATTAGTAAATTTACAAGCAATTTCAGGTAGATTATAGATCTAAACATATGAGGCAAAACAATACGTGCTTTTGAAGGCAATATACAATATCTTCATAGCTTCAGGGTAGAGAAAGTTATCTTGTGAGAATTTTTCATAAAAGAGAACTAACCATAAAAGAAAAATTAGATAAATTTAACTTCTCTCCAACAACAGACAAGAGCGAGAAGGAGAAAAAAATGGATAGGCAGAGGAATATCTGAAACACACATAATAGATGACTTACAAGAGGTTCAATCTCCTTAGTAATTAGCTCTTAGAAAAACAAAACCACAACAAGATACCACCACACACCTAAAATATTAGCAAAAACTAACAAGTTTGACAACACTAAGTGTTGACAAGGATACAAACTAAAAGGAACTCTCATATACTGATAGCATATGTGGTATAACCATTTGGTAAAATAGTTTGGCATTATCTAATAAAGTTGAAAATCAGAAACCCTATAACCCAGAAATCTCACTCCCAGGATATAACTTACACAAAGGGGTATTAGCATGAGCCAACATATATTTGTAAAAAAGTTTTCACAGCCATATTACTCATAATGGTCCCAATCTGGAAACAATCCAAATTCCATAAGCAGAATATTCATATAATGACATATTCTACAGCAATAAAAATGAAACAAAACAAGCAAGGCCAGGCATGGTGGCTCACGCCTGTAATCCCAGCACTTTGGGAGGCCGAGGCAGGTGGATCACTTGAGGTCAGGAGTTCGAGACCAGCTTGGCCAACATGGTGAACTCTGTCTCTACTAAAAACACAACAAAAAAATAGCCAAATGTGGTGGCAGGTGCCTGTAATCCCAGCTACTTGGGAAGCTAAGGCAGGAGAATCCTTGAACCTGGGAGGCGGAGGCTGCAGTGAGCCAAGATCGCTCCATTGCATTCCAGCCTAGGCAACAGAGCACAACTCTGTCTCAAAAAAAAAAAAAAAGGGAAAAGCAATATAGATGAATTCAAAAAAGGATAATACTTTCCAAAAAACAGGGTATTAAAGCATAATTTTTAGTTAAAAAAAATCAATGTGATATGTTTATGAGTGACATTAGTAAGATGGCAGAGGAAGACTTTCCAGGACTCCAGCTTGCAGACACATTAATTTGAACCACTATCCATACACAAAAACATCTTCACAAAAGTTAAAGAAACCAGGTAAGACATTACAGCACGTGAATACAGCACAGAAATAAAAAGAGGCACATTGAAGAGAGTAGGAAGGACAGTATTACATTACCTGCGTCCCCCAACACCAGCCAGCTAGCAAGGAGACAGATGCTCGTTGAGGAGAGAAAAGAGAAGGAATTGAGCACTGGACTTTGCCTCAGCCCCAACACTAGGCCTGCCCCATTAAAATTGTGTTGGGCAGGCTGCCCCCGCCCGACTCCAGGCCAGTACTTCCAGACTACATCTCCTGGCCCACTCCAATACCAGGCTGGTCCCAGTGACCCCAGGCCCCAGACCAGCCCTCGGCTTCAGGCTAATCCCAACTCAGGCTCCAGGCCCAACCCAGCACCAGGCAACCCTGCATAGCCCAAGATGTTAGGCTAGCCCTAGTGCCAGGTTAGCACTCAGACTTCCAGCACCAGGCCAGCCCCTGAATACTCATGCTCCAGACCAGCCCAAGTGGCCCCAAACACCAGGTCTGCCCCGCATCAGGTTGGCACCTGTGGCCTCAGACACCAGGCCAGCACACAAGGACACAGGCTCCAAGCCTGCCCTACGGGTCCACATTCCAAGTCAGCCCCTGTGGCCCCACACTCCAACAGACACAAAGTTCAGGCTCCTCTGGCAGAGCCAGGGTCCAGGTCCATCCCAGCAGAACCTGGCCTCCTCTGGCAAACCCAGGGTCCAGGCTCATCACAGCAGAACCCAGTGCCAGGCCTGCCCCCAAGACCTGATGACTCACACCTGCCTCAGTGGCCCAGTCTCCAGGCAAGCCCTTGCAGACCCAGCCTCCAGGCCAGCACTCACTCACCCAGCCTCTAGGAAGACCCTCATGGCTCCAGGCACAAAGCAAGCACCCACAGACTGCAGCCTTCAGTGGACCCAGAGTCCAGGCTTATTTCAGCAGACCAAGGCTCCAGGACCACCCTTGCAAACCCAAGCTCCAGGCTAACCCTGGTAAACCCAAGACCAGGCCTGACTCACAGACTCCAGGCCCACCCCCATGGTCCCAGGTGCCAGTGAAAGCCAGGCATTGTGGACTCAGGCTCCAGGCCCATCCCCAAGGTCCCAGGTGCCAGCAACTGGTTGGCTCCTGCAGATTCAAGCTAAAGGCCGGTCCAAGTGCCAGGTCAGCTCCCAAGGGACCAGGCTTCAGACCAGCTCTTGTGGACTAGGGCCCTAATAGTCAACGTGTCCACTCCACAAGGGGCCAGCTTGGCACTGTGAACCCTGGATCTAAGTCTGCTCCAGCAAACTCATGACCCACATTTGCCCCAGTAAATATAGTCTGCAGACCAAACCTCATGGACCCAAGCACCAGACCTGTGCACCTGCTAACCTAGGTACCACAACAGCCTGCCTGAAGACACCAGCAGTAAGCCTGCCCACAGACCACACCAGAAAGCCTGCCTAGGATCTCTGGTCAGGCTAATTGGTGAAGAACTTTGCCAGCCAAAGCCAGTCTGCAAAGAGTGGAGTAAGTTCCTACTTCTTCAAATGTGCAGGCACCAATACAAGGCAACAAGAATCACAATCAGGGAAACATAACACCACCAAAGGAACAAACATTAAAGATATTGAGGTTTATGAGCTGCCTAACAAGCAATTCAAAATAATCATCTTTTAAAAACTCCATGAACTACAAGACAATACAACTAGACAAGTACACAAAATCAGGAAAACAATAAACAAACAAAATGAGAAGTTCAACAAAGAAACAGAAACCATAAGAATGAACCAAACTGAAATTCTGGAACTAAAGAACACAATGACTGAACTAAAAAAATTCCAAAGAGAGCTTCAACAGTAGACTCAATCACATAAAAGAATCAGTGTGCTTGAAAAGGGGTTATTTGAAATGATCCAGTCAGAGGAACAAAAAGAAAAAAGAAAAAGAGTAAAGAAAGCCTTTGAGAATTACGGGATGCCATCAAGCAAACCAATTTATATGTTATGGGTGTCCCAGAAGGAGCAGAGAGAGAAGAAAGTTTATTTTAAAAAATAATAACAAAAATTCCCCAAATCTGTGGAATGTAAAAAATATCCAGGTATAGGAAACTCAAAGATCTCCAATCAGGTTCAATGTAAACAAGACTACCCCAAGATATATTACAATCAAATTGTCAAAAATCAAAAACAGAGAGGATCTTGAAAGCAACAAGAGAAAAGAAGCATATCACATACAAAGGAATCCCAAGATGGCTATGAACAGATTTCTCAGTAGAAATCTTATAAGCCAGGAGAGACAGGGATGATCTATTCAAAGTGCTGAAAGAAAATAGGCTGGGTGCAGTGGCTCACACTTGTAATCCTAGCACGTGGGGAGGCCAAGGCAGGCAGATCACCCGAGGTCAGGAGTTCGAGACCAGCCTGGCCAAGAAGGCGAAATGCCATCTCTACCAAAAATACAAAAATTAGCCAGGCGTGGTGGCGGGCACCTGTAATCCCAGCTACTCGGGAGGCTGAGGCAGAAGAATGGCTTGAACCTGGGAGGTGGAGGTTGCAGTGAGCAGAGATCAGGCCATTGCACTCCACCCTGGGTGAGAGAGTGAGACTCCATCTCAAAAAAAAAAAAAAAAAAAAGAAAAGAAAAGAAAGAAAAAAACCAACAAATCAATTTTGAAACAACAGACTTTAACTACACTCTAAAACAAATAAACTGAACAAATACAGAACACTCCGTCCAACAGCAGCGGAATACACATTCTTCTCAAATGCACATGGAACTTTTTTCAGGATAGATCATATGTTAGACCAGAAAATAAGGCTTAACAAACTTAAGAAGACTGAGATCATATCAAATATCTTTTCCAACCACAATGGTATTAAACTAGAAATCAATAAAGGATGGATTTCGAAAAATTCACCAAAAATTTCTCAAAAAAAATAAACAACATGCTTATGAGCAACCAATGGATCAAAAAAGAAATTAAAAGAGAAGTTTTAAAATGTCTTGAGACAAATGACACAACATACCGAAAGTTATGGGATGCAGCAAAAGCAGTTCTAAGACGAAAGTTTACAGCAATAAATGTCTACATCAAAAAAGATTTCAAATAAATAACCTAGTATTAAACCTCAAGAACTAGAAAAAGAACAAACAAAGCCCAAAGTTAGTAGAAGGAAGAAAATAATAAAGATCAGGGCAGAAATAAATTAAATACAGACTAGGAAAACAATAAAGATTAATAAAACCAAGAGTTGTGTTTTGGTTTTTTGTTTTTTTTTTTTTTTTTTGAGACAAGGTCTCGCTCTTTTGTCCAGGCTCCAGTACAATGGTGCAATCTTGGCTCGCTGCAACTTCCACCTCCCAGGCTCAAGCAATTCTTCTGCCTCAGCCTCCCGAGTATCTGGGACTACAGGCGTGTCACCATGCCTTGCTATAAGAGTTGGTGTTTTGAATAGATAAATCAAATCAATAAAACTTTAGCTAGACTAAGAAAAAAAAGAAATCTCAAAACCAGAAATGAAAAAAGAAACATTACAACTGATATTACAAAAATATAAAGAATTATAAGAAACTACTATGAACAAATATATGCCAACAAACTGGATAACTTAGAAGAAACTGATACATTTCTAGACATATACAACTTACAAAAATTGAATCATAAAGAAACAAAATCTTAACAGATCAATAGTGAGTACAGAGATTAAATCAGTAATAAAAAGTCTCCTAACAAAGAAAAGCCCAGGACTTGATGGCTTTACTGTTGAATTCTACCATACATTTAAAGAAAAACTAATACCAATCCTTCTAAAACTCTCCCCAAAAAAATCAAAGATGGAAAAGTATTTCCAAACTCATTTTATTAGGCCAATATTACCCTTCTGTTAATGACAAAGACACTACAGGAAAAGAAAATTACAGGTCAATATTCCTGATCAACACAGATGCAAAATCCTCAACAAAATACTAGCCAATCGAATTCAGTAGCACATTAGAAGAATCATTCACCATGATCAAGTGAGATTTATCTCTGGGGTGCAGGGATAGTTCAACATGTGCAAATCAATAAATGATATACCACACTAACAGAATGAAAGACAAAAATCATATGATCATTTTGATAGATGCAGAAAAGGCACTTGGTAAAATTCAACAACACATCGTGTTAAAAACTCAAAAAAAACTCTATAGAAGGAACGTACCTCAACGCAATAGAGGCCATATACGACCAGCCCACAACTAACATCATAATCAACAGTGAAAAGTTGAAAGCTTTTCCTCTAAGATCAGGAACAAAACAAGGATGCACACTCTCACCACTACTATTCATCAACATAGCCACTGGAAGTCCTGGCCAGAGCCATTAGGCAAGTGAGAAATAAAAGGCATCCAAATCTGAAGGGAAGTAAAATTATCCCTGTCTGCAGACAGCATGATCCTTTAGACAGAAAACTAGATAAAGGACCCTAAAGACTCCACCAAAAGAGTGCTAGAATAAATGCATACAGTAAAGTCAGAGGATACAAAATTAACATACAAAAATCAGTAGCATTTCTATACACTAACAATGAACTATCCAAAGAAATAATCAGAAAAACAATCCCATTTCCCATTTACAATAGCTACAAAAAAAAAAAGTTAGAAATAAATTTAACCAAGGAGGTGAAGCATCTATACATTGAAAGCTATAAAACATTGATGAAAGAAATTGAAGAAGATATAAGTTAATAAACAATTATACACTGCAATGACAGTGAAAAGAATTTGCTTTAGATTTGTATTTTTTGAGCTAGACATCTTAAGGCTTTTTAGTATTTTTTTCTCCTTTTCTCTTACCTTCTGTTCCCATTCTCTTACTTCTTCCAAACTCATACTCTTAAATTTTGTCCACTTATGAAAACAAAATGAATAATAAAGTATAAAGAAATAAAAGTAAGAAACTACCTGAAGTCTTGCTAGTTGTGCAGTCCGGGCAACTATCTTATTGTATGGTTCAACAATTTTTGCTTTTATCCTACAGGAAAAGAGAGGAGTGAGAATAAAATCATTTTCAGAATATCAATGGATAAAAACATTCCCATTCCATTTATTTATAAAATTAAGAACAGTACCTATCAACAGCTCCCTGTAAAGCCCCAATTCTCGTCTGCATCATCTGAAGAACACCTAGGAAAACATAAGTTTACATTGGCTTTACAAATTTACAGGGCATCCAACTGGGTAAATAGTTAAATTAAAAGAAAATACATGCATATATAATTTTAACTTTTTTTGTCACCATCCTAATCCAAGCAACCAGTATCTTTTACCCACACTGCTGTAAAAGCCTGTAACTGGTCTCCCCCTCCAATCTTTGCCTCACAAAAGAAGCCTGACAGGGAATGGGAACTGACTGCTTAATGGATATGGGGTTTCCATCTGGGGTGATGGAAAAGTTATGGACCTAGATACTGAGGATGGTTGCACAACACTGTAAATGTACTTAATGCCACTGAATTGTATGTTTTAAAATGCTAAAAACAATAAATTTTATGTTATGTATATTTTAACACATTACCAAAAAAGTATGACTGATCCTCCATGATATCCCCTTTGCCCCATCACTCCTATATTAAAACTATAGTCCACAGCTTAGTCTACAACTCTCTAGGCTTACAACATGAGGAAATTTTCACAAATTGGAAAAATATTTCCAGGAAGATCAAGCATAAATTTTATTATTTAGGCTTTCAATTAGTACAGATATTTAATTATTTTGAATGCCATTCTTTAAAATTCAGTTTCTATATCCAACTGGCATAGTTGTTTTGAAAGCATAGTATTCTATTAATATCTAAATTTAAGTATAGACATGTGGTCATATTTTAAATGAAATAATATTGGAACAAATAAACATTCCTATCAGCATACAAGTATACAATAACAGAGTTCAGTTCAATAGAATCCTCTCTGAACCAAAGATTCCCACTTTTCTGCTGGTTTTGTGGTGTATTCACCATACACTGCCAAGAATACACTGCCATTACTTATAACCATTTTCTTACATCATATTCTCTCCACAACCCAGTCTCAATGGGTTTCCACCAATACTCCACCAAAACAGATGTTACCAAGGTCACCAGAAATCTATGAGTTGCCGAATTCTATTGTTGGTTCTGTCTTAACCTTGTTCCAGCTCTCAGAAATTCACAGCAGTTGACTACTCCCTTTCTAAAACATTTTTTGTCTAGGCTTTCTTTTTTTGAGACAGAGTCTCGCTCTGTCGCCCAGGCTGGAGTGCAGTGGCTTGATCCCCCCTCACTGCATGCTCCGCCTCCCGGGTTCACGCCATTCTCCAGCCTCAGCCTCCCGAGTGGCTGGGATTACAGGCGCCCACCACCACGCCCAGCTAATTTTTTTTTTTTTTTTTGTATTTTTAGTAGAGATGGGGTTTCACCATGTTAGCCAGGATGGTCTCGACCTCCTGACCTCGTGATCCACCCACCTTGGCCTCCGAAAGTGCTGGGATTACAGGCGTGAGCCACCACGCCTGGCCTTGTCTAGGCTTTCAAATCATCACACTTCCTGGGTCTCCTATTATCTCATTAGTTGTTCCCACTTCTCCTCTGTCAGACCTCTACATGTGCTGGAGTACCCCAAGACGTGATCCTCAGCCATCTGCTCTTCTCCATCTACAATCTTTCAGGAATTTCATTCAGTCCCAAAGTTTTAAATAGTATCTGTTCAATAAAATACTGATTTTATACACACACACACATATACAGACGTATACACATACATCTATGTAAAAAGATTTTCTTTATATATCTGCCTATGTTCTCATTCCCTATCTCTCTGTCCTCTTTCTCTCTCTTCCCCTGTACTGTTACATCAAATGTAAGATACCCAAGACAGTTTATGCCCTACCCCCCAACCTATCAAAAATCACACTTCTCTCCAGGCTATGTCATCTCCATTACTCATACCATCATCTATCCAATTTTTGAGACTAAAATCCTAGGAATAACTCACGGTGACTTTTTTCCATCAGCTCTTTCATCTGCCATCAACAAACCCTATCAGCTTTGCCTACATTTTACTCCATCTGCCACCACTCTAATCCAATGCACCATCAACTTCAACTATTCTAATAGCTTCCAAACCAGTGTCCCTGATTCCACCATTGCCTTTTTCTACAGAGCTATCAGAGTAAACTATTCCGAGTATTAATCTCATCATACAATAACCTGATTAAACTCTTCCAATGGTTTACCATTGCATTTAGAATTAAATCCAAATTCCTTCCCAAGAACCTTATCTACGATCCTCTCCCTCCTTCACTAAACATCAGCTATTCTGGGCTACTTTCTGCCCCTCAAACATGCCAAATTAATTCCTGCTTTCCCATTTATTGTTCAGTCTTCTCCTCAAATCTTCACATGATGGCTCCTCCTCATCATTAGATCTTGGCTCAAACGTCATCTTCTCAAAAAGGCCTTCCCTCTCCTTCATCCATCCCCATCACCTGTTTTATTTTCTCTATAGAATTTACAAATAAAATTTTTCTTTCTGTTTTCTGAGATACAGTCTCACTCTATTGCCCAGGCTGGGGTGCACTGGCATGATCTCGGCTCACCGCAACCTCTGCCTCCCAGGTTCAAGCAATTCTCATGCCTCAGCATTCCAAGTAGCTGGGGTTACAAGCATGATCCACCATGCCCAGCCCTGTTTTCTACTTGTACTTTGTTTTTTTTTTTTTATCTACCTCCAGGACCAGAACATAGTTCCAAAAGGACAGTGACTTTGTCTATCATTCACAAGTGCCTAGTACTTAACAAGTTATTAATTACTATTTGATTGCCTGAATGAACAAATAAATCAATGAGGCTACCTTTGTTTTTTGTTTGTTTGTTTTGAGATGGAGTCTCGCTCTGTCGCCCAGGCTGGAGTGTAGTGGCATGATCTCGGCTCACTGCAAGCTCCACCTCCGGGGTTCACGCCATTCTCCTGCCTCAGCCTCCCAAGTAGCTGGGACTACAGGCACCCACCACCACACCTGGCTAATTTTTTGTATTTTTAGTAGACACGGGGTTTCACCATGTTAGCCAGGATGGGAGGCTACCTCTTTTTGACAAAAAGAAGCTTAATAAATATTCCTCAAAATTCCATGAAAACAAAAACTCTATTGCTATAGCTTTCTGAAACCTAGCAAATTCTCAAAAGTAATATTTGGAAGAATATTTTTAAAAAGAACATTTTTAAATAAAATAGGCTTAAACATACCTCCAAACTACTTACATGCTAAAAAAATTTTACATATTTAGGAGAATAAAGCAGATGAAGTAGAAGCTAGAATAATATTCAATTTTTCTAATATGTATACACACCACACTTACTTTTCAGCATCTCAAAATAACATCTAGACACATCATGCTAAAATGAATGCTAACCAATTCACATTTAAAGTTTTTTATTTATTTTTTGAGACAGGGTCTAGGGTCTTGCTCTGTCACCCAGGCTGGAGGGCAGGGACACAATCACAGCTCACTGCAGCCTCAACCTCCTTGGCTCAAGCGATCCTCCTACATCAGCCTCCCAAGTAGCTGGGACTAGAAACATGCACCACCACGCCAAGCTAATGTTTTATTTTTTATAGAGATAGAGTCTCATTATGTTGCCCAGGCTGGTCTTGAACTCTGGGATCAAGTGAACCTCCCACCTTGGCCTCCCAGAGTGCTGGGATTATAGGCGTGAGCCACTGCACCCTGGCCTACACTTCAATCTTTTATGTTCAAATAATCTAGTGAATATCCTGAGATAATCATAGGAAAAAAGTAGCCAGCCTTTGTACTCTACACACTCACACAAGAGATAATCATTCTAATTCAGTCTAGCAGTGTATTTCAAATATTTTAATCTTTGAACATCATTCTGGGAAAAACAAGCACATTATAAACTAAAACACATATTTAAAAACCACAATGAGAAATATTTCTGTTGCGGTGATTCATCTAGACCTATACACACTCAATGTACTACCATGCCATCCTTATTAATAAAAAACTAGCATGTTTTCAAGATTGCCATTAAAATATTACATGCTCTCAAAAATGCATAAAAATATTATGACATTTAAAAACATAATTAAAACTAGTGAGCTTCTGCACAGCCAAAGAAACTATCAATAGAATAAACAGACAACCTACAGAACGGGTGAAAATGTTTGCAAACTATGCATCTGACAAAGGTCTAATATCCAGAATTTATAAGAAACTTAATTCAACAAGCAAAAACACAACTCCATTAAAAAGTGGGCAAAAGACATAAAGAGACATTTCTCAAAAGAAGGCATACATGCAGGCAACACACATGAAAAAAAAATGCTCAACATCACCAATCATCAGAGAAATGCAAATCAAAACCACAATGAGATACCATCTCACACCATTCAGAATGACTATTATTAAAAAGTCAAAAAACAACAGATGCTGGTGAGGCTGTTGAGAAAAGGGAATGCTTATATGCTTTTGGTGGGAAGGTACAGCCACTGTGGAAAGCAGTTTGGCGATTTCTCAAATAACTCAGAACTACCATTTGACCCAGCAATCCTGTTACTGGATATATATTCAAAAGAAAATAAATTGTTCCACCATAAAGACACATGCACTTGTATGTTCATCACAGCACTGTTCACAATAACAAAGACATAGAATCAACCTAGGTGCCCAACAACAGTGAATTAAAGAAACATGGTACATATATACCATGGATACTACACAGCCATAAAAAAAGAATGAAACTATGTCCTATATAGCAATATGGATAGAACTGAAGGTGATTATCCTAAGCAAATTAAGGCAGGAAGAGAAAAATCAAATACTGCACAGTCTCACTTATAAGTGGGAGCTAAACATTGGGTACTCATAGACCTGAAGATGACAACAACAGACAATAGGGACTACTAGAGGAGGGAGTACCTAACTGTTGGGTCCTATGCACACTACCTGGGTGACAGGATCATTTGTACCCCAAACCTCAGCATTATGTAATATTCTCAGGTACAAACCTACACATATACCCCCCCGGATCTAAAATAAAAGTTGAAATGACTAATAATAGTAATTAATTTCCAGTACTAAGTCAATCGGTACTTAGAGCTTCCTAATCTTCCTAAGAACCTAGTCAGATATGTATCCCAGATTTCAAATAACAAACTATTATTTCCAAAAATACTAAGTTCTTCATCAGGGTATCTTAGAAATATTGTACATGCTGAGAATAAGTTAGTATCTTTGAGTACATGAGAAATACTGGGGGAAGCATTAAAGAATACTGCATCACAGAAAACAATATCCTCTCTCCTTAAGAATTTGATCAACATCGAGAAAAACCCCTTACCTTTCTTCTGATGTACAATGATTAATAATAGTAATCACAAGTAATAATGTAAAACACAATAGTAACATTTCATATTTATGAGATGTAGTTTAATTTAATCAAGAGGGAATGAAAAATTCATAAAAGATTTAGTCAAACAAAAATAAGCAGATTTGTAAAAATAAAAATCCAATTATTACTTGACTATATTTTCATTAAAAAGAGTTGCAAAAAAGGCTCCAAGAAAGGCAAAAATAAGAAAAAAAATTCATGCCTTCTTCCACTACTAGTCACTCTGGTATTGTTGATGTTTTTATTGTTTTAATTAACTAACACTTACAGGTGCACTAAATATGTGCAGGCATTGTTCTAAGTATCTTGCTAATTCATTTAATCCTCAGAACAATGCTGTGTTAGTACACATTATACTCCTGTTTTACAAATAAGAAAACTGAGGCAGAAAAGGGTTAACTAACTTGCTCAAAGTCAAACACCTAGTAAGCAGTAAAACAAGGATTTGAACCCAGATCATTTAGCTCAGGGGCCAGCAAAGTTTCACTAAAGTCTTACTGAAACATAGCCACACACATTTGTTTTCATATTATCTGCCTACTTTCACTCTACAATGGCAGAGTTTAGTAGTTGCAACAGAGACTGTATGGCTGGCAAAGTCTAAAATACTTGCCATCCAAAGTAGCTTGCCAAAGCTTGCCAATCCCTGGTCTAGCTCTACATAATCTCTAGCAGTTATTAGAAATATACCTTCCAACGACTCAATCCCAGTTGCTTGTGCCAGTAAATCTTCATGTCTTGCAACAACCTGAAAATCAAAAATAAATGATTAGCTTTTGCTCTGTTAGGTATTCTTCCTTGTAACCACAATGTAGAATGGACAGTCTCTCTTGGTGTAGAAACGAGGCAAATACAAATACAAAAGAAAAAACCACAGGTTTTTAAGGTGTGTCTGAGATGAGTTGTAAGCGGGAACACACATACATTTACAGTTCAACACAGAGCAAGAGGAGTTACAGCCTTTTCTTAGCCCTGTCTTAGTCTGTTTGGACTACAAACACAAAATACCTTAGACTGAGTAATTTACAAACAGAAGAAATTTATTGCTCACAGTTCTGGGGTTTGGGAAGTCCAGCATCAAGGCATTGGCAAATTCAGCATCTGGTGAGAACCCATTCCTTACAGATGGTACCTTGTATCTATCTTCACATGGTGGAAGGGGCAAACAGTCTTCCTCGGGCCTCTCCAATATGATATGATAGTATTAAGAGCCCTGCACTAAACCCTAGTAAGAGCCCCGAGCTCTTAATACTATCATATTGGAGATTAAGTTTCAACATATGAATGTTAGGGGAACACAAACACTCAGACAAGCCCCTTGCTATCTTAAAGAGATGTACAAGTGGAGTTGTGCCAAAAAATGTAAAAAACAGCTCATTATTGCCACACCATTATTATGTTTTCCCTTTAAAGAACATTTTCAAACATCAGGTTCTCTTTGTTCTTGAATTTGATTCAGCACCACCAAGGCTACATCCTACTCTGGAAAGATACAGCATTCAGTGCTCACCTATACCTGAACATCTCTCTGCTTCCAGTTTCCCAGTGTCACATACCCACAGCAAATCCTTTTCCCTACAGATGTTTGATACTTTTATGAAAATTAGGGCACTGCAGATGGCCAGAACAAAAAAACCAAGGTTACTAAAGGCGACATGCAAGACATTCCTAGAAACATCACAAAATCATGCAAATCTTTAGAATAATGCAGGAATCCTTATTATTGTGTGCCTTTTATTCCAATGAATACTTAGTTTCATGTCTAGTCTGCTGACTGAAGTTCTTAATCACCAACGACTGGAACCCCTAAATCCTCCACTTTGTCTTGTTTCAGATATCACTGTCATTCTGTCAAGTTTCTTTCTATCATATCTACTCAAAGTATTACTCTTGGTCACCTCGGTCTTTTATTCGTAAGGTTGCCAGAAGATGTCTGAATTTTTCCCAGCCTACTGATACGGTCATCAATATGTCCATCTTAACAAGACTAACTTTTTAAAAATTATCTATTCTCCTTTATCACTAGTAATACTTTGGTAAGGTTAAAAAGCCTAAAACTATAGTTTCATGGACTCCCTTGCAACCAATTAAATGATTTTTCCAAGAGTTGTGGAAGACAAGAGAGAGGAAAGCTAGGCTGGGCACGGTGGCTCACACCTGTAATCCCAGCACTTTGGGAGACCGAGGTGGGTGGATCATTTGAGGTCAGGAGTTTGAGACCAGCCTGGCCAACATGGTGAAATCCTGTCTCTACTAAAAATACAAAAAAATTAGCTACGTGTGGTGGTGCACACCTGTAATCTCAGCTACTCAGGAGGCTGAGGCACAAGAATCATTTGAACCCGGGAGGCAGAGGTTGCAGTGAGCAAGATCGTGCCACTTATACACCAGCCTGGGTGACAGAGCAAGACTCTGTCTCAAAGAAAAAAAAAAAAAAGGAGAGAGGAAAGCTTACTGTTTCAGCTAGTAATAAAGGTCCTGAGACCTGAGAATTTAGAGACAGTTAAGAGAACCACATTGATCACTCCAGGATTTAGTCATCAGATATCTAGAGGCAGAATTTTAGCACTGGCATGGAAGGTAAGAACAGGTACTTCCAGGCCTCTGTATTGCATCTGTGGTAGTTCCTTCAACTCCGTCCACTAGCTATTCACCCAACAATTTTATAAGCATCCAAACTCTCTGTATGAAGTGTCTTTCTTAGAGTGATTTCTAGTTCCTGCACTAAACCCTAATAGTAAATGTTTTACAATTTTAGTCATCTCACTGATATAGACTACTGGGACTCGGAGACTTCCTCTACCTCACATCCTAGGCCACTACAACTTCTCCCCTCTAAGTGATGGTAAATACATTTTAAGTTCTTATTGATTCCTGCAGAGTAGATGCTGCATACAAGGAATAAGGAAAATACCAAGCATAAAAGGACTAAAAGAATTTCAGGTGGTTCTTGCAAAAAGCCACCCCCTGAGAACTCTAGACAAAACTAAATACATTATCCCCGCTCTCATAAACAACTTACACTGTTCTATTTAAAACAGGCCTCGCTTGCCTACCATTATTTCTGTCTGTGTCTGCCACTGGTCTGTGGGTCCTTGGAGAGCCAAGAAATGTATTCTATTTATTTGGCTATCCCCACAGTCTAACCCAAAGCTTGACAATTAAGCGTGTTTTCTTTCTTTTTTTTTTTTTTGAGACGGAGTCTTGCTCTTGTTGCCCAGGCTTGAGTGCAATGGCACGATCTCGGCTCCCTGCAAGCTCCAACTCCCAGGTTCAAGTGATTCTCCTGCCTCAGCCTCCCGAGTAGCTGGGATTACAGGCGCCCACCACCATGCCCAGCTAATTTTTGTATTTTTAGTAGAGATGGGGTTTTGCCATGTTGGCCAGGCTGGTCTGGAACTCCTGACCTCATGACCTGCCCGCCTCAGCCTCCCAAAGTGCTGGGGTTACAGGAATAAGCCACTGCGCCCGGCCTAAACGTGTTTTCTAAATATCTGTCAATAAAGATTGAAATCAAATGATACATAATCAGAATTTTAGAGTTAAAATAACCTTAGAAGGCATCCCAGTCCTATCTAAGGCACTCAAAGAAACTAAGACACAAAAATGATCAAGTGGATATGTCTCAGGTTATACCAAATCTATGTTTCCTGGTAAACAATCTATGTTTCATGCATATGTTCATTCATTTAAATATGTATTAAATACCTACTCAATCAAAGGCAACACTAGAAATTATGCCATAAAATCGCCCTATAAAATTTACAGAATTTTAGTAGAGGAGGGAATCTTCAAAGTTATCTACTACAGTCTCCTCTTCCTCTTGCTTATTCCAACCCATCTGATAGATTAAAAAACAAAAAAGCAAGACTCAAAGACTTTAAGTGATATTAAAGTCAGTTAACAACAGCATAGCTGAAATTAGGACCCGTCGCCTAACATCTCATATTGTATCCTACTCACAATAACATTTATCAACTTTCTGTAATTTCAGCAAATGCTACACTTTGTGCTAATAAAGTATGAATTGCGAATGTAACATCCCAATTTTTCTTATTCATATTGTTTTACTTCCAAAATTCCATTTTCTATTATCTTTATCGAACACATCCTATTTTTTGCCCACTATATTCGTTGCACATCAGTTAAGGTGGTGAACAGGAAGTATGAATGAAAGGCTTTGGTGAGGTGGTATATTAGTTTTTCCACAAACAAAAAGTGGTTTACAGAAAATTTCAAAAATTTACTTTGAAAAATAAGTCACACTGGTAAGTATGTACTTCTTCATGTAAATATGCATTTGTATTTAATAAGATTACAAAAATGCTAAATTATCACTTTAGGCTGAATAATCCATAGGGACCCAGAAGATCAGAATTACCTGTAAGTGTAGTTCTCTGTCCAACTGACTGATTCCTTGGGCAAGTTTTGCTAGTTGTTCAGCAATTACAGCTTGATGAATAGATTGAGAAGTATAAGTCTTTACATCAAAGTCTTCGTTTAAAAAGTCACTATAACACCCTGGATTGGGGAAAAAATAAGGAAAAGTCCTTAATTACCCTGTACTAAACCAGTTATTAAACAACAGAACAATTATAATCATAATTAACATATTTTGATCCCATACTCTGAACCACTCCACTATACTGCTTAATGCTTACTTTTATCATGACCCTAAAGGAAGTATAACATTGAGAAAGAGATTAAAAAACATAACGACTGGCCAGGCACACTGGCTCATGCCTGTAATCCCAGCACTTTGGGAGGCCGAGGTGGGTGGATCACCTGAGGTCAGGTGTTCAAGACCAGCCTGGCCAACATGGTGAAACCTCAAACCCCATCTCTACAAAAATACAAAAATTAGCTGGGCATCATGGCGGGTGCCTGTAATCCCAGCTACTCGGGAGGCTGAAGTGGAAGAATAGCTTGAACCCGGGAGGCACAGGCTGCAGTGAGCCGAGATCGTGCCATTGCAATCCAGCCTGGGTGACAGAGCAAGACTTTATCTCTGGCCGGGCGCGGTGGCTCACACCTGTAATCCCAGCACTTTGGGAGGCCGAGGCAGGTGGATCACGAGGTCAGGAGATCAAGACCATCCTGGCTAGCACAGTGAAACCCCGTCTCTACTAAAAATATAAAAAAAATTAGCCGGGCGTGGTGGTGGGCGCCTGTAGTCCCAGCTACTCGAGAGGCTGAGGCAGGAGAATGGCGTGAACCCGGGAGGCGGAGCTTGCAGTGAGCTGAGATTGCGCCATTGCACTCCAGCCTGGGCGACAGAGCAAGACTCTGTCCCAAAAAAAAAAAAAAAAGACTTCATCTCAAAAAAAAAAAAAAAAAAAAACCATAACTACTAGCTATAACTATTAATCCAAGAAAACAAGATCATTGTCAGTGAAAAGACAACAGGAAAATTGACTCTATATATATATATACACATATGTAATATTTATGGCCTCAGATATCTCTAGATCAATACACAAATACTGTTATAGCAAAGTGAATCTGGAATTTTAGTAACAATAGGAAATATAAATTTATAGGTGTTACTGAAATTTAGGATTTATGGGTGAAATATGTTAATGGAAAGAAAAGCTGTTTAAAATAGGCCCCTAATAGACAGAAAACAGAAGTAATACCAGATGTTAAAAAGATACCCCTCAATATAGAAATCCACAAATATGTGGATGAAAGAAAAATTAAGAGAATTGAAAGCTAAAAATAGATACCCAGAAGGGAGCTCATGGTAACCATGTACCAAATCTCCTAATGATACAGTAGATACAAGTAAAGCTGCCTTGAGAGAGATTATGAAACAAACAAAATAGAGTACTTTTAAGAAAACCTAAATTGTCTACATCTGCTATAATGTATGCTCCAAGAGGGGAAGAAGGTCTTTGTTTTGTTTGCTAACTCTTCTCCAGTGTCTGAACAATACCAGACACATGGCAGGTTCCATGAATTAACTAATCTATACATCAGCTGATGTATCATTAGTATCATTCTGGTAACAACCAACAACAAAAAGTAAAGGCTCATACTCTTGATTATTCTTAAAATGTAGTGGAATGAAAGAAGGAAACTGCTACTTTGGCTGCTTTTAAGTCTGAGAACCACATTTCCTTCTGATTTGCCAAGTGCTTCTCAGAATTAAGAGTCCTGTCAGCCAGACAAATGAAAAAAGCCATTCCAAGCAAAGGGAAGGTTTAGCAGTGGCAAATGCCATGGCATATTTTGAGAAACAAGGGGAATACTGATTTCAGTGTGTCTAAATCATAGCACATGTATATTGGACAGAAATGGTAAAGAATGACAGATGTGGTTCCAAAGGTTGGAGCGCAGTTTGAAAAGAGGTTTGTAAGACATTTGAAATGTTTAACCATATCTCATTTAACCCAAGAAATTGCACTATCAGCTTTATGTTACAGAACAATAATCCTGGCAGCTGTATAGAGGATGATGGAAAAAGGATTAGTCACACAGCAATGTGCTGAAGTTGCCTCTTATTGGCTCTTGAGCACAGACTGTTACATTTTCAGGAATTCTGTGAGCCAGTTGACCTTTCACACAGATATCTTAAAATCTACGATGGTGAGAGTATTTACACCATGGTAATCAGCAAACACTACAAAAATCAGGGCTTTTTCTATTTTCCCACAAAGCCAATTAACCAATACACCCAAGAAATAGAACCACAGAGGCCAGTAAAGTACTATGTTAACAGCCTAAGACATAATGAAGGCCCGACTAAGACCTGAATAAGTGGCACTAAGAATGTCAAAGTGACAAATTTGACAAATATTCACACTGCACAGGATGTAGGACTTAGTGACAAGCTGAAAATGGGTGATTAGGTAGAACAAACAAGGATTCCCAAATTTCTGGATTAAGCAACTGATACAGGAAATTTAGTTTTACACTAACTTAGACCACTAGACACTGAATATACCAAGATGAACATAAACTTCTGCCTCCAAGGAATTCATAATTTACAAGGGGAACAAGCACACATTTACCTAACAACATAGTAAACACAGATAACAGAAACTACCAGAGGAAAAGATTAGGAGAGAAGAACAGAAAAAGTGAATTCATTTCATTTTTTCATATGTAAACCTTGTACTATTTGTTCATATGTAGGTTTTCATGTGTATTATAGAACTAGCACTGCTTGTTTACTATCAAAATAGAAATGTCCATACAGGTTATGGAATGGCATATCATAAAAAAATTAAGATAGAAATGTCCAGTAGGCAGTTAAAAATATAGTTTTATAATTCAGAAGACAGGTAAGGAGCATACTGAAACCACAGACAAGACCAGATGATTTAGGAAAAAAAAGTTTTAGAATGCACAAAAAGGCAGGAAAATGAGGAAGATAGGAAAGTGGGGGGTGGACAGAGAAAATGAAAGCAATCAAAGAGACTAAAGAGTGCTCAGGGAGAAAGAGAAACAAAAAAGAATGGCAAAAGCCAAAAGAAGGGATAAAGAAAGTAAGTATTAGTATTGTCATAGAGCTTACAAAGATCAAACACAACGGGATGTGGCATTTGAGGGCTGACAGCCTTTAAAGAGATGAATTATATAATGCTTCTCTTTTATAGTTTCCTCATTCCCATAGAGGGCATATCAGAAACACCTCACCAATTTTCATACTATGCATCTGTGCTCACCAAGCCTATCAATCCGATACTCTGTCATTGGCCAAATCCCCGATATAGTGAATCAAAGTTTCTGCTGGAAATGCTTAATTCCTCAGGAATGTTGGGGGTGGAGGGGCAACAGAGACCGCTTAATTCAGAACAAACTGAACTGACAAGTATCTACAGGAACCTGGAAAAGAGCACCTAGAGAATTAAGAATTTTTAAAAAGCACGGCACCCATAAACCGCATGAGGAAAGTATTTCAAGAAAGGAATCAAATGTTATTACAAGTTAAAGGACCAAAAAAGTGTCCATTTGTCGTATGTGCAAGAAAGTCATTGAAAACCTTGCAAAGTTACTTCAATGGCATAGATTGAGGGTGACTGAGTCCCCAGGAAACAGGAAGAAAAAATCCAGAGCAAAGTAGGAGGCACTATCCTTAGAACGGAGCAGAGACTCGGCCGGGCGTGGTGGCTCACGCCTGTAATCCCAGCACTCTGGGAGGCCAAGGCAGGCAGATCACGAGGTCAGGAGATCGAGACCATCCTGGCTAACACGGTGAAACCCCGTCTCTACTAAAAATACAAAAAATTAGCTAGGCATAGTGATGGGCGCTTGTAGTCCCAGCTTCTCAGGAGGCTGAGCCAGGAGAATGGCGTGAACCCCGGAGGCAGAGCTTGCAGTGAGCCGAGACTGCGCCACTGCACTCCAGCCTGGGCAACAGCGCGAGACTCCGTCTCAAAAAAAAAAAAGAAAGAAAGAAAGAAAGGAGCAGAGGCTCCACTTCCGTTGCAATTGAAAAGGCAAGGGAAAAAAGGTGCAACAGATGGTTATACGTTGAGGTTAAATTCATAGGTTTGATGGGCAAGAAATGGAGAAAGTTCACATCTGATGGATCCTCTTTTTCTCCCCAGGGAAGCTTAAAGTCATTTGTTGAGCTTGAAGCGAAAGGTTTGAAAAGGGTAAAGAAGATTTAAACAATCACTGTGGAGAATGGCAGAGAACCAAGGAGGAAAATACAGAAGGCAGAACTGAAGAGTATTTACCGTCCAAGAACTGATTACAATTCCTGAAATACATCCTACTGAAACATATATCCAATGTTCCACTGTTCACCTGGGGAAGTCCTGTCTACAGTTTAAAACGTCTCCACCTAGAAAGCCTTTTCTGACATTTCCTAACCAGTTTCCAACCCCCAGTTATCATTCTCCTCTGTATTAATGCTCTACTTTATATGCAATCCTACTGCTATCTTACATCACTATATTACAGCACCTACCTTTATAGTCTACAAGATTATTTCCTCTACTAGATGGTGAACTACTTGAGGGCAAAAATTGCACGTGTATCAGGAGCAACTGCAAATATATCAGGGTCTCTGCCTTGTATCTAAAGTTTAAATTCAGTTTAGCCAAGTTTTAGACAGAGACCCGGTCCTAGAGTTTCCAACATGAAATAGTTCAGAAAACATCATTGCTTTTGACAAAAGTACATAAATTATCATGAAAAGGCACGTAATTCAGGATGACAATAAAATATTTAACAGTCAGAGAAAATAAACAATAATTTGGAACTTTATTTCATTTATTACCCACTTCGGTCTTCAAATGTGTGCATGTGCTTCTAACTGCGATGATGAATTTAAAAAACATTCTGCACCTACTGTATGCAAGATACTGCTATTCACACTGTGGGATATTAAAAAAAGTTTGCAATACAGAAGAGATTAAAACAAGTATACAAATGATTTTAGTACAAGGTAGAATGCGATGGCCACTAGAGAAAAAATTAAGAACAGGTGAGAAGGGCTTTATTTTTATGCTTATAAATGTGAACTTTATTCTGAAGGATAAGAGATTCGGGACATGGTAACTGGATTGACACAACTGAATATGCTTTTCAAGTATATTATATCTAACTTTTCTTATTTTGGGCAACTTCTCTCCAAACTGACTAGCAATAAAATCTGACTGCTAGATTCTGTACAAATGGTTAATCCCAACCTGAACAAATGTCTCAAACCCTCCCCCACGTGTCACTGTAGATAACTGCCTCATAAAGGAGGAAAAAAAAAACCAGCCTGTAAGAGGGGTCACCTGTACAGTCCATTTGTTAAAGGAGTAAGCGTTTCCAGCTCTACTTTAAAACAAGGCCCTATTTCATTATGCGTCTGCCGTCTGTTCTAGAGCTTACACTTTTGAAGAGCTCGAACGCTACACCCCTTCGTCAAGAACTGCGGCAGCAGCCGGTGGCTGCCAACGCGGTCCACAGGGTTTGGGCTCCCGAAACTTCAGGGAAGCTGGAGGCATGGGGGGGGGGGGGGTCGAGTTGAAATGAGGAACACACAGAAACCAAGTGTCCCCAAGACTCCAGAAAAGAGGGAGCCAGTCCCAGAGTAAATAGGTTGGCTAGAACAGTACCCAAGCCAGGGGGCCGGGCGGAGGGGAGTGGTCACGTCCAGACTGGAAAACTTTCTGCAAAGCAACGGGTTGGGTCCACCTCGCTGTCCAGGTGCGGAGCAGCGCAGACCCCCAACCCCACGACCTGGTCAGACCCCGTCTCCTTACCGTCCTGCAGAAGTTCCCGGACTGTAGCTGCAGCCGCTCCAGAGCCTCGAGCTCCGAGGCCAGCTACAGCGACGCTGCCGCCGCCACCTTCCATGTTGGCAGGTGCCGGGTTGATGTCGTCAGCAGCAGAACGGCTCCGCCCAGGTGGTGACGCAGAATCCCGGCGCCGCCCGCCCACCCAGCCCATGGCTCCAGGCCCACCTGGCGAACTGACTCTCAGCCCGCGCCTGGGCTAAGCCTGGCTAGGAGCCGCGCAGGTACTCGAGCAGTGGGCGCCCAGGGTCCGAGTGCTCTGCGCCCAGCGCACCGAGGGAGCCAAGGCCGTCGGGCCGGCGCTTTCAGCTGTCTCTCGCAGCAGCTCAGGGCCGCGCCCCCTGGGCTGGCGTCGTGCCCTAGCCAAGGAGAAGGTGGGCACCGGAACGTGGCCGCAGCGCTTATCTGTGAAGCAAGTATTAAACCTCAGAACAGGGGCCGCGCGGCGTAAGGCAGGAGAGCAGAGCGGAGGTTTCAGGGAGCTTCGTTTGCCCTCCACACTCACAAGAGTCACGCGTTAGTTGCTACACAGCTTTATCTGTTCCACGCCTTGATTGGCACTCCTGGGGTAATAAAAGCCCGCAGGAAATGCTTGGGAAGAAAAGTTGCTGGGGATGAACAGTGAAGAGAATTAGGGAGAGTCGATGAAGAAGGAAGTCTGAACCATAAAAGGACCAATAAAACTCACTGTCTCTACCCTCCTTCCTTCCCATGAGACCTTTGACCTTTTGCCTTTTCTACTTCTTCCTCAGTTTCAGTCACGTGCCAGACTTTTTCTTAATTACAAACTGATAGATGGTCCACATCTCAACTAACAGTATTGACGCTGTAAGAGCATCAGGTTGGTTCCCATTGTATCTTCTTTACTAATACGTTCGCGTTTTTGACCTAGATTTCTTTCTTCTAAGATAAATACTGATAAATTAACAGGGTCAGGCAACCACAAGTATGCAAGACAGTCTTAAGCTTCTTCGCAAAAAGAAGCTGGAAGATGACTTTTTCATTTTGTACAGTAGGTATGTATCCAGGAAACCAATTTTATCCAGTTCCAGAGCTACGTGGTTTTCTACATTCTGTTTCAAAAAGGTGCTATTACTTATCCTGTGCTTATCGCTGTTCTAAGTATTTTATAACTCAATGCATTTCATACTCATAACACCTCAGGTAAGCAAGTCTTATGCTACACTGCATTATGCTCTCTTTGTCTCAGAGGATTTTCCCTAGTATGTAAGATCTTAGTCATGATGGGAATAGGGGTGATTCATTCATTACTTGTGAATTAGGAATTGTTTTTCCTTCCTTGGCTTTATTCCCCCCAGTGGAAGATTTTAGAAGAGTGAGTAATATTCATTCATACAGCGAAAGTTTTGACCCCTCTACTCTGCATGCTCTCATGAGTTTACAAACATAAGACTCAATCCATATTCTAAAAGGAGTTAATAGGTAAGGTAGGAACCCATTTAAACAAACAATTGTACCAGGTGCTTTGGAATCTTTGGATTTACTTATTCCAGTAATTCCAAGCTTAGCTGCACATTGAAATCACCTGAAGAGCTTTAATAAAAACACTGATGCCTGCATCCTGAGCCCAGACGTTTGGATTTAATTGGTCTAGGGTATGGCTTGGGCATGCTAATTCTTAAAAGCTCCTCGGGTCATTGTAGTGTACAACTAAGGTAGAAAGCTACTGATTGTTTTGTTTTGTTGAGTTGGGGTCTAGCTCTGTTACCCAGGCTGGAGTGCAGTGGCAGGATCGTGGCTCACTGCAGCCTCAACCTCCTGGGCTCAAGGGATCCTCCTGCCCAAGCTTCTGGAGTAGTTGGGATCACAGTCGCTTGCTACCACGCCCAGCTGATTTTTATAATTTTTTTAGAGATGGGGGTCTCACTATATTGCCCAAGCTGGTCTCAAACTCCTGGCCTTAAGCAAGCCTCCCACCTTGGCCTCCCAAAATGCTGAGTTTACAGGTGTGAGCCCAGTCCCCTGAAACCTACTGATTTATTCTTTCAGCAAATAAATATTGAGGCCTTCTGTATGCCATTTACTATGACTGCAGGAGTGGATAAAAATGAAGTAATTCTTGCTAAAATCACTAATGACCTTGTTGCCATTGCGCTTTATTTTTGCCTTACTTTGATGTTTAAGATACCTATCCCCTCCTTCCTTCATAATGGTCTCTCTCGTTTTCTGAGTATCACTCTTTAGGTTTATTCCTCCCAGCTCCAAAGTTCATCTTCAGTCTCTTTTGCTCTCCCCTTTTCCTCTGTTACTTAAATATTGGTGCTTCCAGCGGTTTCTTGCAAGATCCTGACATCCTTAAGTACCTTGGCTATTTTTAATTTCAACTCCTTGCCTAAAGGTTAAAGACTCTAAAGTTTGAGCAATTAGACCATTCTAAAGTTGGCCCATATCTGATTCTTTTTTTTGTTGTTGTTATTTTCTGCTTCATTTTTCCTTCATACATACCTGTTTCTAAGTTACTGAGGCCAAGGACTGGAATATGAAAAGTAGCCAACACTGTGAAATAGTAGGATTTTAAGTATAGCAAATGTAAAACATTTACAAACTCCATAATTTCATCACTCGTACCTGTACCTCTTGGGGTATAAAAGTGATTTACAATGCAATTGTAGAATTATAATTGAAATTTTCACTAGATAATATCACATTAAAATTTTTAAAAATAATTAACGTTTGTTTATCTTCTGATTCACAGACAGAACAGGATTCAAGAATTACAATAAAAGCACCAGCATATCTTTTGAAACACTGACTACTTAAGAGTTGCTCTATTAATGCCATTTAACTTTCCTGAATAAAACAAGATATTTCCAAATGCCAGTCGAGTATCATATATAAAATAATTCAAACCAAATTTCTTGGCTTACCAATCCCAACAAAGTAACATGTAAAAAATTTTTAAATAACATGAAAACTTACAACATGGTAAACTAGGGAAAAAAAAAAAATCTCGTTTTCTGCATCTTGTGTTTCCACAACTATCTTGGGTAGTTTTCCACATCTATTTATCTTACAAATAGAGGCAGCATTCTATAGTATCATATTGGATACTGTGAAAATAAGCTATTAATAAAAAAATTTCTGAGCCCACAAGCCTGATAAAAAATATATGTTGTTGGCAGTTGAAATTGTTAGAATGGAATTAATATAGTGAAAACATATTTTCTCTATACAAGCTTATTGTCTTTTTCAGATTTGAAACATATCTGTATTAATGAAGAGTGACTGCATGCAAACGACAATATGTCAGGAAAGAAAAAAAGATCCCATAGAAATGTTTCATTCTGGACAGCTGGTAAAAGTCTGTGCCCCAATGGTTCGATATTCAAAGTAAGTGTTGCAAAATGATTAATGAACTAAGATGAAATTTCCCTTTTATGCTCTGACTTTTTAAAAGTACTGTAAGACCACCCACCATATGGGAACTTCAAACTCTTAGCTTTGGAATCATGACTTAGAATTGAGTCATGATGCTACTACTTGCCTAGTATATATGTGATCCTGAGTAAACAATTAACTTCTCTGAGCTGCACTTTTTATATCTATAAAAATGGTGGTGGTTGTAACTCCTACCTATAAGTATATAATGGATATTAAATAGATATAAGTATTGATGTATAGATTTTTATGTGAACTTAAGTCTTGGGACAAATAGGAGTGCAATTATGGGTCCTAAGGTAGTTGTGTGTTCAGTTTTCGAAGAAATATTTCTTCGTATCTTTTGCTCATCTTCTAATTGGATTGTTTGCTCTTTTACTATTGAGTTTTTTTAGAAGTTTGTTATAAAATATACGTAACATAAAATTTACCTCTCGATCATTTTTAAGTATACAGTTCAGCAGTGTTAATTACATTCACATTGTTGTGCATCTGATCTCTAAAACTCTTTTCATCTTAGAAGATGGAAATTCTATCACATTAAACTGTGACTCCCCATTCCACTGTTCCTCACAGCAGCCCCTGGCAACCATTATTCTACTTTCTCCCTCTATGAACTTCACTACTCTAGGTACCTCATATAAGTCTTATACGTATTTGTTCAGAACTGGATTTATTTTGCTAATATTTTATGCAGCATAACATCCTCAAGGTTCATTCATGTTGTAGCATATATCAGACTTGTTCCTTTTTAAGGCTGAATAATATTCCATTTTATGTATATTTTGTTCATTCATCTGTTGATATCCATTCATATATTGATAGAACACAAGATAACTTCCACCTTTTGGCTACTGCAAATAATACTGTCATGAACTATGGGTGTACAAATACCCATATACAAATACCCATGGTTCGTAACAGGTCTCTGAGACCCTGCTTTCAATTCTTTTTGACTATGTACCCAGATGTAGAATTGCTGGATCATATGGTGATTCTATGTTTAATTTTTTGAGCAACTACTGTACTGCTTTCCATAGCAGCTGCACCATGTTACCTTACCACCAGCAGTGAACAAGAGTTTTAATTTCTCCACATCCTCATCAACACTTGTTATGTTCTGGGAGTTTTTATTTTATTATTATAATCATCCTAATGGGTGTGAAGTGGTATCTCATTGCAGTTTTAATTTGCATTTCCCTAATGATTAATGATGCTGAACATCTTTTTGTGTGTTTATTGGCCATTTGTATGTTGTCTTTGTAGAAGTATCTATTCAAGTGCTTTTGTCCATTTGTTTGTTTTCTTGTTTTCTATTATACTCTAGATATATATTCTGCTTTGTCAGATGTGTGATTTGCACGTATTTTCTCCCTGTATATGGCTTGTCTTTCATGCTCCTAACAGGATCTTTTGCAGAACAAAAGTTTCATTTTAATGAAGTCTAACATCAATTTTTCCTTTTGTAAATTGTGCTTTCGATGTCAAGTATAAGAAACCTTTATGTAGCTCCAGATCCTGAATATTTTCTCCTAAGTTTTTTTCCCTAAAAGTTTTATAGTTTTATGTTTTGCATTTAAGTCCATGATCAATTTTGCATTAACTTTTATGTAAGTGTGAGGCTTAGGTTAGGTTGCCTATGGATGTCCAATTACTCCAGCATCATTTTTGAAAGGCTATCAGCCAGGCACAGTGGCTCACGCCATCAAATCCTAATCCCAGCACTTTGGGAGGCCGAGGTGGGCAGATCATTTGAGGTCAGGAGTTCGAGACCAGCCTGGCCAACATGGTGAAACCCCATCTCTACTAAAAATACAAAAATTAGTCAGCGTGGTGGCGCATGCCAATAGTCCCAGCTGCTGGGAGGCTGAGGCAGGAAAATCGCTTGAACCTGGGAGGTGAAGGTTGCAGTGAGCCAAGATCGCACCACTGCACTCCAGCCTGGGCAACAAGAGTAAAACTCCGTCTCAAAAATAATAATAAAAAAAGAAAGGCTATCTCTCCGCTAATTCTTTGCTTCTTTGTGAGAAATCAGCATTTTCTGTTTTGTTCCATTGATCTTGTATCTTTTTCCCCACCAATACCACACAGTTTTACTATATAGCTCTATAATATGTCTTGAAATCAGGTAGACTGGTTCTTCCCAATTTATTTACTTTTTCAAAATTGTTTTAGCTATTCTAGTTCCCTTGCTTTACAAATAAATTTTAGAATGACCTTGTCTATCTCTGCAAAAAACCCTGCTGGAATTTTCATAAGAACTGTGTGAAACCTATACCTCAACTTGGGAAGAACTGACTTTCTTACTAGGTTGAGTCTCCCAATCCATGAACACAGTATATCTTTCCATTGATTGAGATTTTCTTTGATTTCTATCATCAGTATTGTGTAGTTTTCAGCATACAAGTTCTGCACATGTTTTGTAAGACACCCAGGTTTTGAGCATGTTTGTAAATAGAATTTTTAATTTTTGGTGTTCACATGTTTATTGCTAGCACATAGAAATAGATTTTTGTATGTTGATCTTATATCCTGAAAACTTGCTAAACTCACTTGTTGGTTCTAGTTTTTTTGTAAATTCCTTCAGAGTCTATATGAACAACCATGTCATCTACAAATAAGGACAGTTGGATTTCTTCCTTTTGATCATATGCCTTTTGTTTCTTTATCATGCCTTATTGCACTGACTAGAAGTTTCAGCGCCGTGTTGAATAAGGGTGATAAGAGCAGACTTCCTTACCTTGTTCCTAAGGCAAAAGTGTTCTGTAGGAATTTTGTGGATATACTTTATCAAACTGAGGCAGGTTCCCTCTACTTCTGGTTTTCCAAGAGTTAGCTTTTTTTTTTTTTAACTATGTATGAGTGTATTTTGTCAAATGCCTTTTCTGCATCTATATGATCATGTGATTTTTATTATTTAGCCTGTTAATATGATGGATTACATTAATTGATTTTGACTATTGCACCTTCTGTTTTAACCGGCTTTTTCTGACAACACTCCAGCAGGGAATGATGTAGGGGAGTGGTGCCACCTCATTGCTATCTGATAGAAATCCAAGTTCTCCACTTGGCCTCCTTCGACATCTGGTGGGTGAGGAGCTCCTCATTACTGCGGGGCAGTGATGAGAGTTCCAGTTCCCCATAGTGAGGGTAGCCTCATATGTGCTGGGCAATAATGAAAGTCCTGGCTCTCCACTATGCCTCCTCTGACACCACACCAAGCAGGGAGGGAGAAGAGTGCTTCATTACTGCTGGCAGGCATGGAAGTCCAGGCTCCCCTTGTGGCCTCCACTGATACCACTGGGCTGGGAGTGACCTCAGTGGCCACCAGAGATGAAAGTTTCAGATCCTTACCTGGCCTTGGTATCAATAGAATGTTGGAGCACCTTGTTACAGCCTTTGGAGGGTAGAAGTCTAGGATTCCCACTTGGCCTTTGCTAATGGAGATAAAGCCATAGCTTTTTCTACAGTATTTGGCTGGAGTAGAACTGTCTAAAAGTTTTCTGTCTTACTAGGTCAGACAGAACATTTTCCTGGTCCTTTGGTTAGAGAAGGCTTTTGTTGGGGCTGGTTTTGTCTGCATCCATTGTTGTTTCCAGGTGGCCAGCTTCTTCAAGTCTAGGATATTTGAGACAAAAATAAAACCCAGAGAACTCACCACCCTGTCATTCCTCAGGTCCTGAGGTCACTAGCCTATCTGGACATCTTTTCTTCACCTTTCAAAATTTTCTTGTGTTTGTTTTATATATAATATCCAAGGTTTTTAGTAATACTTAACAGGAATAATAGGGAAAAGTAAATCTCCTCCATCTCCCCATAGGTAGAACTTTCTCTGATAAATATTTAACAATGCACTAAAATATGTTTGTGGTGTTTCTAAATGCATAATTAAGGTTTTATATGCTCACAGGTTGGCTTTTAGGACACTAGTAAGAAAATATAGTTGTGATCTGTGTTACACACCAATGATTGTTGCCGCTGATTTTGTCAAATCTATAAAAGCCAGAGACAGCGAATTTACCACAAATCAAGGTATGTGAAACCGAGTGTACTGACTTTGTAAAACTTTTTAAATTTGTTTACAAACTCAACTATCTTATCAGAAACAACACAATTTAGAGATTTTATGTGAAGAAGCTTTAGTTCTTTAGTGTTTTTAATAAGTATTTTTTACATGTTATTACTGAATGCCTTGCAAACTATCAGTGTATATACCAAAGTGTAAGGTCACTTTGAAACCCTCTCCTCTCACTAGGGCTACTAGAGTAGATTCCTGTCACACTGCCTCTAGTCTTGTACCATTCCAAACTATCCTCCAAGGAGACCAAAGTGACCTATTGAACATGTAAATTTTTCTCTCATTGTTCTCAAAGTGTGATCCCCAGACCAGCAGCATCAGTATTATCTGGAAACTTGTTAGAAATGGAGATTTACAGGTGTACTAAATCAGAAATTCCACATATGTGGTCCAGCAATCTGTGTTTTAAAAGCTCTCCAGGTAATTCTGAGCTTGTTAAAGGTTGAGAACTACTGGCTTAAAGACTAAAATTTCAGCACCTAAAGATAATACACAGTTTTTCATAATCTGACCTCTGAATACATCTTCTGCAGCCTTATCTTCCTTCAGTTTCTCCCCACACCCCACTGACTTTATCCTTCAAAATTCCTAAGTTATTTTAAGTCCTTGAACATACACTGTCTTCTCACACCAGACCCCCTCTCTCTCTTGCAAACTGTAGTTTATGTTTCGTCATTCAGCTCTCAATATTTGTAGCCATGAATCTTTTTTTTTTTTTTTGATCATCCTCTACTCATGTCCTCCCTGCTAAGCACAGGCTCTTATGTTGCACTTAATCACTTAATTCTACTGCATTATGATTTCCTCTTTATATGCCTGTTTCTCCCATTAGGTTCGGCCTCCTTGAGGGCTGTAGCTTTAGAAATAGCTTGATTTGTATCCTCAGCATCTAGTACAGTGTTGGAAATATATTAGACCAATAAATGGTTGTTAAATTGAAATTCTGTAACTCTCTTGAGTTACAAAAGGGAAAGCACCTTACATCTCCATAAAGAATAAAGCAAATTCTCCTAAACCATCATAATCCTGTAAATCAGTAGATTGCCATAGGAATCTTGAATCAGTGCAACTAGGATGATGCCCACAAATCTGCATTTTCATAAACACCCAGTGAATCTCATACAAGTATTCCTCAAAAGAAATGTTGAAATACATCTAAACAGAGTTTATAACACTGACCCAAGGATACGAAAAATATGTTCTTTAAAACCTAGGAAGCTTTAATACATTCGGCTGTATTAAAATTAAAACTTTGGGCCAGAGGCGGTGGCTCATGCCTGTAATCTTAGCGCTTTGGGAGGCCAAGGTGGGTGGATCACCTGAGGTCAGGAGTTTGAGACCAGCCTGACCAACATGGTGAAACCCTATCTCTACTAAAAATGCAAAAATTGGCTGGCCATGGTGGCAGGTGCCTGTAATCCTAGCTACTTGGGAGACTGAGCCGGAGAATCACTTGAACCTGGGACGCAGAGGTTGCAGTGAGCTGAGATTGTGCCACTGCACTCCAGCCTGGGTGACAGACTCTGTCTCAAAAAAAAAAAAAAATTAAACATTTATATGTAAGAGCACAAATATACTCAAAGACAAAAAACTGAGGAGAATATTTATAACACATGATAGATAGCAATACTAATTTCTTTGTTTTATTAAAAAAATTACAAATAAAAAGAACAACTAATGGAAAAATTATATACAGAAAAATGCAAAGAATATGAAGAGAGCTCACAAATTAGAATATTCAAATGTTGGATATACACTGTATGATAAGTTGTGAGGAAACAAGAACTTTTATCCATATTGGTATATGTCTATATTGGTAAACTCTTGAAAGATAATTCTGTAATATCTATCACAGTGTTGTATGTTAAATGCCTATTAACAATTCTCCTAAGAATTTACCCTATGAATATACTCAGAGCATGTGAAACAGTCTAAAAATACACTATATGGTCCATCCGTACAGCGGAATATCCCACTATAAAGAAGAAAATAGGTCTGAGTACATCTCCCAGATACATGAGGAAAGAAAGGAACACTAGGCACAGTGGTATATATAGATTGTTCACACTTGTTTAAATTTTACAGGTATACAAAAAAATTGTTCTGGAATGCAGTAAACTAATTCTCACCTTTGAGAAGAGGGTCTATTTTGTCAAAAGTATTAGAATTGTTTTCATTTATCAAATTTTGTACTGTTTGAATTTTTTACCGTGTAAATTGCTTTTAATTTTAAATATTTTAAATTGTTTAATGTTATATTATTTGGACAGATGCTTCTTAGGCTAAAAAATCGTTATTGCTATTTTATCCTGTACAAACATTAAAGTTTGGTGTGTGTGTGCATGGGGTTTTTTCCTGTGAATTTTAATGTTGAGCTATTCATTTTGTCAGGTGATTGCCCATTGATTGTTCAGTTTGCTGCTAACGATGCAAGACTTTTATCTGATGCTGCTCGTATAGTCTGTCCTTATGCGAATGGAATAGACATTAACTGTGGTTGCCCTCAGAGGTAAAGCTCAAAGAAGTTGGAAGAATTTTCCAAAAGAGTAGAAAAAAAACTGTGTGAACATGGTAAAATATCTTTCTAGTTTTCCAAAAATTAAAAAGAAAATAGAGTTACAGTCCCAGGGCTCAAAACAAGAAGGAAGAAAATATAGGGAAATGTAATTTAGAAACATAAATTCAAAGGTCTTTTCTGATGACTGAAATGATGTATAGACCTTTGACAGGTGTTTTGTCTCCCCTCACCAATAGAATTTTTATGTGGCTGTGCCTTGAATCTCATCCCTAAGTAGTTATATGAGAATCTAATGTTTACGGCAATCCCTAAAATGTATTTTTACTGTCATGTCAGATATACTTGCTCTGAAAACAGATTGTTTGACTTAGGAAATCACCACATATTTCCTCCTAATTAATTCCCCTTATAAAAATACCTTATTATAATCACTTTTTCTTTCTATACCACAGTTACTTGTTTGGGTTTAAATAACTGGGTGTTGATAGGGTGTACTTAATTTGACAATAATATTTCTTTTTTTTTTTTTTTTTTTGAGACAAGAGTTTCCCGGGTTGGAGTGCAGTGGTGTGGTCTCGGCTCACCACAACTACCGCCTCCCAGGTTCAAGCGATTCTCCTGCCTCAGCCTCCTGAGTAGCTGGGATTACAGCCATGCACCACCACGCCAGGCTAATTTTGTATTTTTAGTAGAGACGGGGTTTCTCTATGTTGGTCAGGCTGGTTGCAAACTCCCAACCTCAGGTGATCCGCCCGCCTTGGCCTCCCAAAGTGCTGGGATTACAGGCCTGAGCCACCGCGCCCAGCCTGACAATAATAGTTCTACTTTACTGGCACTGTAGTAGATTATCAGTAATTCAAAATGTGTCCAAAGAATAAAAGCAAAGTTGTTAAGTATAGCGTAATCGAAATCAGATTAGACATATTTGTATACTCATTAGGAGGGTTAAATTAGCTGTTTAGTGGTATTGGAATGCTGTAAGCCAAAAATATCTTTCTACTATTGAGACTAATAAAACCTCTTGTTATGCACAATAAACATCAAATTTGGAATTTTTAAAATCTGAAGTCATTGCAATTACTTCAAATATTTAAACCTGTTTTGGTTGAATGACTTTTAACTTAATATTCTCACTTGCCAATGAAAACCATTTCTCCTGAGTACTTTTTGATCTGGGAACATGTTTTCCTAATCTCATATTGATCCACTTAGAAATGTTGAATCTATGAATTTTTTATATCTGCTTCTCTTCCAGATCACTAGAGAAATGGATGCACTTACATTTCAGTGCTTTCAGAATTTTGTCTTCTCTTCCAGTTATTTATAATTCACTTGTTCATGTGTTTGCTTTACAAAGGTGGGCAATGGCAGAAGGTTATGGGGCTTGCTTAATAAACAAGCCAGAGCTTGTTCAAGACATGGTGAAACAAGTAAGAAATCAAGTGGAAACCCCTGGATTTTCAGTTTCTATTAAAATAAGGTAAAGACAATATTTCAATCTATTGATAGGATAATCCATTACTTAGGAAATGAAAGATTATTGCTTTTGTCTGATGCTGTTGGGAGTATCTATCCTAAATAAATTGGTAGCTGGTGTATGGAAATGTTGAAAATAAGACATTTAGTAAAAGAATATATACCATAATTTTCATTTATAGTCCTGAAAAACTTCCTCTTTGTACTTTTAACAAAAGTTAAAGCCTCCCTTTAAGTTTCACCAAACTTTCAACTTTAGCTATGTAGTATTTAATGTTAAGAAACATTACTGGTGCCAAGTGTAGAAAATAGGAAAAATATTTGCACTAAAATTTCACAATGAAAAGAAAATAAACCAGGAATCAGTTTTTCCGTGACAGGTTGAAAACATATTTCTTTTTTTGAGACAGAGTCTCACTCTGTTGCCCAGGCTGGAGTGCAGTGGCACAATCTTGGCTCACTGCAACCCCTGCCTCCCAGGTTCAAGCAATTCTCATGCCTCAGCCTCTCAAGTAGTTGGGATTACAGGTGTGTGTCACCACACCTCGCTAATTTTTGTATTTTTTAGTAGAAACGAGGTTTCGCCACGTTGGCCAGGCCAGTCCTGAGCTCCTGGCCTCAAGTGATCCACCTGCCTCAGCCTCTCAATGTGCTGGGATTACAGGAGTGAGCCACGGTGCCCAGCCTGAAAACATATTTCAAGATAAAGTATTATATTCTCCCACTGGGGGATGGGGGCATGCACAGCAAATATTAAGGTTTAAATTCATCTGTGACAGTACTTTCATGGGTCTTTCATTTATCAAAGCCAAAACATAGAAGCACTAGGTCTAAGATAAAACTTGTTTTTTGTCCTTTGTTGTCAATAGTGAAATAGCTAAATTTGAGGTCTTGTGTAGGAACTGCTCCCTGAAGAAAACCTTGCTGATAATGACATAGAGTAATAATATGATATAGCAAAGCTAACTAATTTGGTAGATGAAATACCATTTTAGTCAGTTAATGTTAGCATTAAGATTTGTGTGCTGTGAACAGATAAATGTAATTTTGAAATTGTAGGATCCATGATGACCTTAAAAGAACTGTAGATCTTTGTCAAAAGGCTGAAGCAACAGGAGTTTCATGGATTACAGTCCATGGAAGAACTGCTGAAGAAAGACATCAGCCAGTGCACTATGATTCCATTAAAATAATTAAGGAAAATATGTCTATACCTGTAATTGCTAATGGAGACATCAGAAGCTTAAAGGAAGCAGAAAATGTGTGGCGGATTACTGGGACAGATGGTAAGAAATAAGTACTTGGGTTCTTTTAATTGGGGGGGGAAGAAATGAGAGTGGGGAAGTAATGTTAATTTGATTTTCATTTGTTTTGTTTAACATTAAGCCATATTTTCCCATTGTACTGTTTTAAGCTAAGCGATTTATTAAAATGATGTTAAGTTTTCTACCTAGAAAAACATGGATTATCTTAACTGGGATAAATTAATTCAGTTACTTTTCTGACACCATCATATCTAGTGACCAGTGAAGAATTTTCCAGATAGCCTACTAGTAAAATAAAGCACCTAGAAATAAGAGTAAGTGAACTCGAGAATGATAAGAGCTAAAGGAATCCCAGAACTGCTATGCAGTTTCATTATTCCCTTAAATTATTGGCATGCCAAGCCCTATAATTGCTAGATGGGAGAATATAGATAAACTGAACTTTAAGCAGCCCAATTTATGACAATCCAGATTTACCCTAAAGAAAAACTAAAGACTAATGGTTTAATGTAGAAATCTTTAAAAAATAAAGATTTCTGTACGTACATTTAAACTTTCCTGGTTTACAAAAGGTACCAAAATTAATTCTTTTGTAATCGGATTAAACATATTAATGCAATAAAGACATTACAAAACCTTGTGATAATACTTTTTAAAAATATACTGTTTGCTTCATTGAGCTTGAACTAATAACCAGGGGTTCTTAATGTATGGACAAATATGGTGTGCTTTAATTTGTAGGTGTGATGGTTGCAAGAGGACTCTTAGCAAACCCGGCCATGTTTGCTGGATATGAGGAAACCCCACTGAAATGCATCTGGGACTGGGTTGACATTGCTCTTGAACTCGGGACTCCTTACATGTGTTTCCATCAACATTTAATGTACATGATGGAAAAGATAACTTCAAGGCAGGAAAAAAGGGTATTTAATGCTCTGTCAAGCACATCAGCAATCATAGATTACCTTACAGACCATTATGGCATTTGACTAGACTTCCCAAATAATTTTAATATATACTTTTAGACCCACAGTGAAACCACAGAAGGTCATATTTTGTACCTTAAACCAGTAGCTCTCAAATTTTAGTATAAAAACAATTCCTGGGAGCGTTTTTTAAAAATCAGTTGTAGACACCACCCTCAGAGATTCTGATTAGGTAGATCTGGAGTAGACCCAGAAATACACAGTTTAAAGAAAACTCCCAGTGGTTCAAACATCCTGATCATCCTAGGCAAACATTGACAAATACTGCTCTGAATCCTGTTCTATAGATATTGGGGGGATGGGTAGAGTGGGAATTTTTTCCTAATCATGTTTTTAACATTTTAAAATAAAATTTAATACTAAGAAATTATGGCTTATAGTATCTATAAATTAACAAGAAGTATGCAGGTGCAAAAAAGTGGTGGAACAAATACCAACATCCATCCAAAATGAAAAAGAACAGGAAATTCTGAATAGAATTGCACTCAGAACTTATATTAAAAATTCCATTTGGTTAATGACATTAAATTTGGTACATTTCAAAACTTCTAGGTCCTCCAAAGATTGAAAGCTTAATAATCTCCTACCTAAAAAGATAAAATTAATTGCAATCTACCATATCTTAAGTATAGGAAATTTGGTGTCCAACCTGGAGATGATTATATATTTGAAATATTTCCTAGAGAATAGTAACCAGGTTTTGTTTTTAACTTTAAAACCTAATTACTTTTGTGCCTCTCAGCCGTTGATTGTAACTTTAAAGTCCCATGGTTTTGGAGTGTTATTAATAGATTTTGTTATCGGTGGGCATGCACTGCAAGAATTAAGTATCTCAGACTGAAATAAAACCGTTCATAATTAAAGTATTATTTTGTTTTGCCAACATGAAAACTGTTATAAGGAAACAATTATGTAAAACTGTTTAATTCACGTTTGGGAATATTGAATGAATCCATTTTAACATAAGCACTGTGGTGCCATCTTTTTTCTCAGTACATTCTGTTTTCACTTTTCAGTTAATGCATTTTTTTTTTTAAAGATAACTCGCTGTTTCATTTTCTATGAATACTGTACAAAATAGGGAGGTATGGTCAGAACTCTGAATTGAATTACCCTAGTGTTGTGAGCACAGCATCATCACTAGAGTAATGTGCTCGGTGTTTGGAAGGAACCAGCGTGGATGGGCAAGAAGTTCTAACACTTTTGATTAAAAGTAACTTCCTGGCCGGGCGCGGTGGCTCACGCCTGTGATCCCAGCACTTTGGGAGGCCAAGACGGGCAGATCACGAGGTCAGGAGATCAAGACCATCCTGGATAACACGGTGAAACCCCGTCTCTACTAAAAATACAAAAATTAGCTGGGCGTGGTGGCGGGCGCCTATAGTCCCAGCTACTCAGGAGGCTGAGGCAGGAGAATGGTGTGAACCTGGGAGGTGGAGCTTGCAGTGAGCTGAGATTGCGCCACTGCACTCCTGCCTGGGCAACAGAGCAAGACTCTGTCTCAAAAAAAAAAAAAAAAAAGTAACTTCCTGGCTAGGCGCGGTGGCTCACACCTGTAATCCCAACAGTTTGGGAGGCCAAGGCAGGCAGATCACTTGAGTCCAGGAGTTCGAGACCAGCCTGGCCAACATGGTGAAACCCTGTCTCTGCTAAAAATACAACAATTAGCTAGGCATGGTGGCAGGCGCCTGTAATCCCAGCCACTCTGGAGACTGGGGCCAGAGAATCACTTGAACCTGGGAGGCAGAGGCTACAGTGAGCCGAGATCGCACCACCACAATCCAGCCTGGGCGACATTGGGAGACTCCATCTCAAAAAAAAAAAAAAAATCTTCCTTATGGTTAATTTATGTTCAAAGTCTATTTTTCTATTTTTTCTGTTACATGTGATCCAGAATATTAGTGATAAATTAAGAAAAAGCACCAACTTAAATGTGTTTTTGAATGTTTTATATTCTATAATTATCAATTTTCAACATTTATTTACTATTCCCCAAATAATTGTTACCAGGATAGTACTTTTATTAAATTCCTGATACGTTGTCAATATTGAAAAAACTCAACAACTTAAATGTACACGCACAGTTTGAAAAGCTGGAAAATAGTGAAAGAATATCCCCATACCCACCTTTCGTACCAGTCCCCAAACATCACGGTAAAGTTTACTGTCTCTTCCCAGCCCATGGACGGGAACGGGAACGCCTACGGAATATGTTGTGACATACAGTTGATCCTAGGTTCTCCAGAACAAAATGCTGCACGACCACCTCATCCTGGCCCTTTATTAAATATAGCTTAATTCTGGACACAAACAGTTCCCACCATGAAGAGAGAGTAGGTGACCGGAAAGGAGTGCGTCTTAAGCGCGTTCGCTGAATTTGCACCACCCAATCCAGCCCCGCCGCCCGGCGCCGCTCCTTAGACCTGGACCCCGGCACCCTCCCGCCGGGGCCGCACTTAGCAGTGGAAAGTCTGTCCTCCTGAAGAAGTTGCGCTCCGACCTCCAAGCATCAGGTCAAAAGTCTAACTCATTCTCTGACCTGCCGCCAATTAGAAAACAACTGTTGCCAATAAACGTGGTCGCGCCGCCTGTGACCTCAGCCGGGACGGACCCGCGGGCGGGAGCCTGCGGGGCGTGAGGCGGGGTGGGGCCCTGGCTCCCCTCCCCCGCCCAGCCGCGGCGTCTGACGTCCCGCGCGTCGGCGGCCGCGGAGCAGCGCAGGGAGCCAGGCGGGCTGCCGGCGGGTAAGGGCTTCTGCGACCCGGGGACCCGTGGGGCGTAGGCCGCGGAGGGAGAGCGCCGCTGCCTGGTCTGGAGAACCCCGCGGAGCTGGCCTGGCCCGACCCGGCCCGGCCCGGTCCGCGGCGCGGTGGTCGAGGGCCCGCGGCGCCTTCTGGGAGCGGGAGGGCCGGGAAGCCGGGCGTTGGTGGAGGGAGGCGTTGGGCTTCTGTCGCCGCGAAGCTGGCGGAAAAGGCAGTGGCCAGCGAGCCGCCTCGCCAGTTCCCACGACTCCCAGGGAGGTGGCGACACCCGCTTCCCGGGCCACCCTTTTCCCCTTCCTGACCGGGGTCCGTGCTTGCCTTCCCAGGTGGGGGAAGGTGGAACACTGTCCATCCCCTGGACAAAAACGCTGCGCCTCGGGGCCTTGAACCCGGTTTTGTTTGAAAGGAAGCAAGAGAAAATAAGTGTTTTTCCATTTAGGTGTGAAGAAAAAAATGACACTCCAATGGGCTGCAGTGGCAACCTTTCTTTATGCCGAAATAGGACTCATTTTAATCTTCTGCCTACCTTTTATTCCTCCTCAGAGGTAGGAAACCTTCAAATCGTTAACTAATAAATATTGGATCGCTCTTAATGTAAAATGGAAAAAGTTTTCTGAACATTAAAAAGTTTCGAAAGTCTTTGAAAATAAACTCACCTAACGAATTAGGTAGTATATAATGACAATATTAAAATAACATTTTATATAAAACTCTGTTACGTGTACAAGTGAAATAACTTTTTCTTCCCTTCTAAAAGAAAAGGCGCCTATACTTTTGATTCTGTTGATTACAGATATAATAAAGCAACGATTATACTTTTAACACCTGCCCTGCCTTGTCTCAGGTTTTACCTTTGTTTTATTGCCCTGAATTGGAGCCATGAACTAAATAAATATAAGTGGATAAATCATGTTTACAGTACAGCATGGGTGTAAAAGTGTTTCACTGAGGCACTGGAACAGCAATTTAGAAACCAAAGCCAATAAATTATTCTTAGTTTTCGCCTTTGTAACCGTTAGTTTCATTAATGACAATTTTACTACTTTTGATTTCACATAAAATTAATGAATGTATATTAAAAGTGCTGAATGTGAAAAGTATCACAACCATGTATTAGCATTAGTTCGTTAGTGACGGAACTTCTAAGGTCTTGAAGAACCAAGTACAGTGTTTCAAGCCAAGCAGTGGTTCATTTTACCCTTGCAGTAATCTACTTTTTAGTCGTTTAATTTTAGATCCAGAAATTTGATAGTATGAATGGGGAAATACACATGTAATAAAAATATTGCAAGATATTTGTTCATACTCCTGGCATAAAAGAAAGTATTTCATAAGTGAGATCCTAGAGATAACCCACTAAAGTGTATTAAAATCCCAGGACTGGGAGAAACTTCTTAAAGTTTCACCTTAGCTCAGGGTCCAGATAGTCTTTCACAACTCCTAACTTGCTCCTTACCTGCCTGGATTTCTGCTCTCTTCTGTCCTTCTCTATCAGCTAAGCTAAGCTCAGTAAGTTGTTTCTTACTAAAGAAAAAAAATTGAATCATACTGTAGGGTCTTTGATCTTATTTGATCCATTCCACCCATGTTCTATATATCACGTACTGAGACCCAGGAGGGCAAGTAGCCTACGGTTACCTAGCTGGTAAGTGACAGATTCTAGAAAAAAATCTGGCTCTTAGTCCAGTGTTCTTTCTACTCCATCATGCTGCCTCTCATCCTGTAGGTTTTGTTTCAAACTCAGTAACACCCTGTTTTGCTTTTTGGTAATATTTGCAATGATAGAATCCTATATACTCAAGAGAAAGAAAGATTTTGTATATAAACATCTAATTTATAGATAAGGCTTAAGGGTTTGCAAAGAAGGAAAAATTGTCAGTTGATCTTTACTCCATCAGAGTGATCTGTAACTTATGGATCAATATTTTTCTTCCTGCCAAATAAAAATTTTACCCATCCTGATCAAGTAGCTATTAGATAGATGTGTGTATATTTGCATATGATATATAAATGTGTTCTCATGTACAGATATAAAGAAAATACGGTATGTATGCACGCAGATCATTTACAATATGTCCTATGTGTGTATCCACATCTTTTTATCTTTTATATTTGTATCACCATAATCTTTAAAGAAAATATTTCATCATTTAGTCTCTATTATTTTCTTACATAACCCAGTGGTTAAAGGCACATGCTCAGAAATCAGGTCACCTATAACTGCATGTTACTAACCTTGGGCATGCTCTTGATCCTCTCTGATCTGTTTCCCCATCTGTAAAATGGAGGTAGTACTAGTGTCTACCCCTTACGGTAGTTGTTGTAATTAAATGAGATAAAACATGTAAAAGTACTTAGAACCATAATATAGTGAGAACACAATAGGTATTAGCTATGATAAGGTGCTCAACTGCTAGTTGTTCCCTATGAGAGATCTCTTACATTCCCTTTTACACCACACCAAACCTTGAAGAAATAAGTAAATTTACATTTGGACCTAGATCAAGGTATTACCACTTATGTTCTCTTAAAAATATAAAATTTTATATTGCATAATTTAAATATTGGCTGTATAAAATGCTTGGACTTGGAAGCAGAGACAAAATGAACCGATTCATCTGTATGAATCTCCCTCAACCCACCAATTTCAAGTAGTTACTTGAAGTTGTCCTAATCTTAAATCTTAAATGTGTCCTAATCTTAAAGTGAAACTGTTTTTTTCAAGTTGTAAGTGCTTGAAGCTATTTAAGTGCTTACTACATTTTTCTGCCTCCTTTCAACTAAAGTGTTACTCATTTAAATTGCCCTTGTACAAAGTTTGTTACCTTTCCTATTGCGTGATGGATTATTTTGCCACTTTGCCATTTATAACCCATGCTTTCTTACCACTGTCTTTGTTTATACTGTTCAATCCACCTAGACTATTTCCCCATCTCATTTCCTCTATGTTCACATCTTTATCTGTAGTAATTACATGGTTTTATATATATATATATAGTGTGTGTGTGAAAATTATCAAGCTACATATTTAAGATTTTTTCAATTTATGTGTATAATACCTGGGTAGTTTTTATAATTCCCTCATGGTTAAAGTAGAGAAACTTTTAGTTGGAGTATACGTTAAAATTGTACTATATAAAAATCAGTATGCAGAGTTAGACCCCACTCCTGAAATGTTGCCAATTGTTAGAACAATATATCTTTATTTCTAAGTCATTTCTCTGACCATGAAAAAGATACAGAGTAGTAGCTTCTATCAACAATATAATATTTTACTACTGCAAGAATTCCTTTTTAAGGTTTTGCTCATGTATGGTTTACTTTTAGAATATTTAAGCCACCAGACAGAGGATAATCAAATATCAGGTTATTATTAAATTTGAAAGAGTTGTTTTTTAATTCATGAGATATTCTGTCATGTCAGAATTAATAAATTTTAAAATTAAATTTCTGTAATTTTCACTTGCTACACAATTACTAAAATGTTACTTCAGTATTTAAAAAGTATTTCAAAACTTTATTTTAGTTTTTTTATACCTAATATAATTGTATTGCTTTACAGATGGCAGAAGATTTTTTCATTTAATGTCTGGGGTAAAATTGCAACTTTTTGGAACAAGGCTTTCCTTACCATTATCATCCTATTGATTGTTCTATTTCTAGGTAAGTACTAGATCCCTTCTTTGAATAAATATAACTTTTTTTAAATGAATTTCTTTTTAATTAATAGAGTTGATGTTACAATTGGTGTACAGTTGACTTTATATAGTATATTGATAGTACATAGAGTGGATACTGATCTATTGATACACAGTTGATAGATACTACCATTCTGTATGTTCAAGCTTAAGTTTCAACAGGGCACAATGATTCTTAACCCCTTCTAGGTTATTTTAAGATTTAAATGCTGTATATTAATGCATACCTTGCTGTTCAGAGTTACCAGACTTTATTTTTCATGGTGTTGTCTCTCCTTTGTTACTGTGATGTCCTAGGCACCCAGGAGCTTAGCTGTTAGAAAGGCAAATAAAAGAATAGAATCATTAGGCTCTCCAAAGGAGTCTTAGATGCAGGGTGTGCATTTGGACTGGATTAAAAAATAAACATGGCCGGGCGAGGTGGCTCAGGCCTGTAATCCTAGCACTTTGGGAGGCCAAGGCGGGAGGATTGCCTGAGTCCAGGAGTTTGAGACTAGCCTGGGCAACATAGCAAAACCTTATCTTTACAAAAATGTAAAAATTAGCCAGGTGTGGTGATGTGCACCCATAGTCCCAGCTACTCGGGAGGCTGAGAGACTGGAGGATTGCCTGAGCCCAGAAGTTCAAGTTTGCAGTGAACTATTGCACTCCAGCCTGAGCAACAGAGCAAGATCCTTCCTTAAAAAAACAAACAAACAAACAAAACTGCAACATAGATTTGGGGACTACCGCAAAAATTTGAATATGGAGTGATTGTATAATATTAGGGAATTTTTGTTAACTTTAGTTGTGATAACAGCATTGTTACATAGCAGGGTCAGCAACCTATATAGCCTGTGGGCCAAATACCTATTTTTGTAAATAAAGTTTTATTGGGAAATGACCATGCCCATTTGTTTACATAATGTCTGTACTCGTTTTTCAGCATGTTTTAAATTTTCATGGTAACAGTATTTTAAAAATTAAAAGTAGACCTTTAGGTTCTTGTCAAACCAGAAGTTCCATGAGTCTTAGTAATCACCATGTTTTTCCAGTTGTTACTGAGCTCAGAGAAATTGAGTGACTTGTCTAAGATTATCTAGCTACTTCTTGAAATGCCCCTTCTTGCACAGAGTATGTTTTCCCTCAGAATTCCCTCAGAGTTGTTGTGTTGTTGGTTAAATAGGATTTAGAGAGGCGAACTTGGGACCCTAACCGCCATCTTTGACACTGTTTTGTGAGAAAATGTCTTCCATGTTCCAAACCACCAATCTCTCAAATAGAATCCTCTTTATAAAACTAAGAACATCTGGTATGAGAAGGGATGGTATTGTCAAAAACAGAAAGGTGTGAATGATTTGTGCCTCTTTTCAAGATGTAAATATTTGTCTCATGGTACATTATTAATGTTATGGATTGAATCTCTAGCCATATAACTAGTTATGAGAAGTCAGTAAAGAACAATAAGGAAAACCGGTTCCAGTTCTGCCACCAGCTAACTAAAGGACCTTTGAAATGGCTTTTATTTCCTGGGTTTGATTTATTCATCTTGTGAAATAAAGGGAGAGATGGAAAGAATCTCTGCAGCTCCTGATTTTATGATCTTCTAACTCTAAAATTATCACAAAAATTTCTATTGAAAACTGTCACTTATCATGTAAGGGAGGGGAGTTGTAGTATAAGTTCTTTTGGTTACATTAGAAACAAACTTGGCCGGGCGCGGCGGCTCACCTCTGTAATCTCAGCACTTCGAAAGACCAAGGCAGGTGGATCAACCTAAGGTCAGGAATTCCAGACCAGCTTGGCCAACGTGGTGAAACCCTGTCTCTACCAAAAATACAAAAATTAGCCGGGCATGGGGGCGCGTGCCTGTAATCCCAGCTACTCAGGAAACTGAGGCAGGAGAATTGTTTGCACCCGAGAGGCAGAGGTTGCAGTGAGCCGAGATCGCGCCATTGCACTGCAGCCTGGGTGACAAGAGTGAAACTCCGTCTCAAAAAAAAAGAAACCAACTTGAACTCGCTTGACTAAAAAAGGAAAAATTTGTAATAAAATACGGGGCTGTTGCAGAGTAGCCCAAGAAAGGAAGGAAGCCAAATTCCAGGGAGGGATTAGTACTTGGAACTGAAATGTCCTTTTCTTGGCCATATACATTTTTCCTATATATACTTCATTCTTTTTTATTATGGACTCTGATATTCTGTCTATCTCCAAGGCAGTAAATGGGTACCACACAGCTGCCAGGTGTGGTACCCATTCCAGACGTATGCAAGGGTTAATTCATCATCTCTGAATCCCAATTCCACATCAAAGGAAAAAAAATTGGACCAGCTAGTACCAGTTATCTACTCCTCATCTCCTATAACCAGGAAGGTCACAAGGGAGAATCATGACTGCTGGCTGAAGCCTGCATCTTTGGGTAAACAGGGCAATTAATTCCCAGAGAACAAGGACATCATGGATAGTTAAGGCAACCAGATAGGTGCTTATCCTCTAGGTCTCCATCCAAAATGGAGTAATGACACCTACTTTCGTGTTTTAAGATTTAAACGCAGTAACATATGTAAAGTGCAGAGTCTGATGTTCGAGTCCACAACGATGTAAATAATGCAAAACCAGTGGATTACTCATGCTTAATTTATATTTTACTTGGAAATTTATTTCCTTTTTCTTGGTTATCTCTCTAAATAAGGTAACTTTTTTATACATTTTCTTTTTATATGTATTTATTCTTTTTTTTTTTTTTTTTGTGACGGGGTCTCACTCTGTCACCAAGGCTGAAATGCAGTGGTGCGATCTCAGCTCACTGCAACCTCCACTTTCCAGGCTCAAGTAATTCTCCAGCTGCAGCCTCCCAAGTAGCTGGGACTACAGGCGAGAGCCACCAACCCCTGGCTAATTTTTGTTTTTTTTAATAGAGACAGGGTTTTGTCATGTTTCCCAGGCTGGTCCCAAACTCCTGAGCTCAAAGCGATCCGCCCACTTCGGCTTCCCAAAGTGCTGGGATTACAGGCATGAGCCACTGCACCCAGCCAAAATAAGGTAGCTATTAAGAAGTGTTTGTATTCTTAGAGCCAACACTAACTGAGTGTGTGCATACAAGTGTGTGTGCATGTGTGTGTATTTTAGGTGCTGGTAAGAGACAGAATGGAAGTGGGAATTTCAAGAGTGTGTTTAGTGTTAGCAGAAATGCATCCCAGGAATTTGAAAGTTTCCATAACTGATCTAAAATTGGATCATCTTCAGGTGGTTTATAGAAAATTGACTATATGTCACATCCTTCCCTTATTGTTGACTCCATTCCATTTTTCAGACATAGTTACCTTTTTAGTATACAGGTGATGTATTCTACAGGTATGTTTACATGACCATTGACATTAATAAACCTTTTTAATATTATTGGTTAATCTTCAGCTTTTCTGCATAATGGATTCAGGAGTATTATTCCCATTTAATTACCAAGGAAGATGAATCACGAAGCATAATGATCCTTCATAGTACTCACTATTTGCCTATTTAAAATAAGTCGTAAATATATATTATCTTTGTTGGTTTTTTGGTAGTGGTTGGCATGCTCTTACTATATTATTGAGGCAATCTGAGAAATGACAAAGGGGAAATAGCCATTAAGATACAGGAAATTTTCTAAAGATCATTTAAGAGACTACTTTATATAACTATGCAAATAAATTGGAAAACCTAGATAAAATGTATAATTTTGTAGAAAAATATGATTTACCAAATGAACACCAGTAGATATAGAAAATTTAAGCAGACTAATTTATATAGAAAAATTATAGAAAGTTATCAAAAAGGACCCCTATTTGAAAAAAAAAGCAAAAAACCAGATAGTTTTATAAGAAACCCTACTGCTTTCAGAAAACAGATATTACTACTGCTTCTTAAACTGTTCTAGAATTTAAACTTCAAATTGTACAGAGCTAGAAAAAAGCAAGCTGTAGAATTGAAAATAAGTCAGAACAAATGAACTGAATAGTACATCAGATTGCAATATATAACACAGAGAAAAATAATTACTCTTGAACATAGTACTCTTAACTTTTTACCTCGCTGGTAGGGTACATTTTAAGAACCAAGAGGATTACAATGAAATCTGAAACTTTATAATAGTTTTATTGTTGGTAATTTAAAAGCTGTTTTATGTATAGTGCAGCATCAAGCAAATTAGTATGTTCATGGTATTAGAAACTAAGACTTTCAGGAATAGATATGGCATACAAATATAAAGTCAAAAATTAAGGATTTTTTAAGTTTTAGAGTGATTTATTTGGGTTTTATTTTGGAGTATGGAAATGTGGAACTAGATAGAGGTGGTAGTTGCACAGCATTGTGAATATACTAAGCATGACTGAATTGTTCACTTTAAAGTGTTTACTTTTATGTTATATGAATTTTGCCTCAATAAATTAAAACAATTTTGTTAAAGACATAGGAGTCTGGCTTTGTTCATAGCAAAACGGGTTGTATTAGACTATTTCTCCTGTGTTAAAAATTATGAACCCTCGATAAAATACGAAAAAAGGTATTTGAAGGCCTTGTAGAGCAACCAAAAGCAGGCAGAAACTAGAGGGACGTCAACCCTTAAAAGAAGGGAATCATACTGGGTGTGATCACATTTATATAGCCTTTCTTCCAACCGCTTTCCAGTCATGTGGCATAGACAACGATATAGAACTCAAAGCAAAAAGACAGTCTTAACTGACTTAAGGGGTCAGAGGTCAGATAGATTCAAAAATAAGAAGGATGTCTAAGAAAGGAGAGAACCCAAAAAGGGAACCCCAAAATCCACATGTAAACTCCCCTTAAATTCTTGGTTGACTCTTCAACCATGGATGTGTAGGAAAGATTCCAAGGAAATCAATGAAAAGGAACAGCCAGCAAAAAGCAGCAAGGCTGAGAAGAAATTTTGGCTGCTGGCCACCAAGGAGAGACAGAGTTTGGAGTATGAGCCTCATCACGTTAGAGGGGCTTGGTAAAGACCTTGAACCTTTCCACTAAAATCACAGAAGGGCTACTCCTTAGGAATAGAGACTATATCCCAGGAATTAGAAATTTACTATAACTAAGGCCTAAAGCAAAATAGACTTACCCTAAAAAAGTATAAAAATCAAGCCTCTCTAAACAGCTGTAAACTGTACATCAGCAGTCCCCACCCTTTTTGGCACCAGGGACCAGCTTCATGGAAGACAGTTTTTCCATATGCAGGAGCAGGGGATGGTTTCGGGATGATTCAAGCACATTAAATTTATATGCACTTCATTTCTATTATTATTACATTGTAATATATAATGAAATAATTATGCAACTCACCGTAATGTAGAATCACTGGGAGCCCTGAGCTTGTTTCCTACAACTGGACATTCTCATCTGGGGATGATGGGAGATGGTGGCAGATCATCAGGCATTAGATTCTCATAAGAAGCATGCAACCTAGATCCCTTGCACGCGCAGTTCACAAAAGGGCTTCCACTCCTATGAGAATCTAATGCCACCACTGATCTGATAGCTTGGGCAGTAATGTGAGCGATAAGGAGTGGCTGTAAATACAGATGAAGCTTTGCTCACTGGCCTGCCAATCACCTCCTGCTGTGCAGCCCAATTCCTGACAGGCCGTGGAGCAGTACAGGTGCATGGCTCCAGGTGTTGGGGACCCCTGCTGTACATAATCTTTGCAAGGGCACATGAATATACTAAACTCTCTTCACCAAGATACACTATATTCTGGGCCATAAAACAAGTCTCAATAAATACAAAGGATTGAAGTCCTACCAAGGATTGGAATCATATAGAGTATGGGGGTTTTGTTTTTGTTGTTTTATAGAGACAGACTTTCGCTTTGTTGCCCAGGCTGGTCTCAAACTCCTGGCCTCAAGTGATCCTTCCTGTTCCCAAAATGCTGGGATTACAGATGAGAGCTACTGTGCCCAGCCCCTACAGAGTATGAAAATAGAAATCAGTAACAGAAATCTGGAAAACCTATACATGTTTGAAAATTAAACAAGACTTGTTAGTAATCCTTGGGTCAAAGAACTCACAAAGGAAATTAGAAAATATTTTAACTGAACAATAATGAAAATACAATATATTAAAATTTTAAGATGCCATTAAAGCACTGCTTAAAGGAAAAATTATAGATTTGAATATTTATTTTTAAAAAAGATTTAAAATCGGTGATTTTAGTTTCCACCTTAATAATATCTACCCATTATATTGAATATTGACAGTGAAAAAAATAATATTCACTCAGTTGTTTTTTAAAGATTTAGAAGGAAGATTTCTCATTCTGATGAAGAGCTACAAAAAACCTCAAGCTAGCATCATACTTAAATATCAAAGTCTTCCCCCATAAGATTGGAAACAAGGCAAGGATATTTACACTCTGTTTATTCATTTGAGTAATAGATGTCCTAGCCAGGGTAATAATAAGTCATGAAAGAAATGAAAGGCTTAAAGATTGCAAAGAAAGAAGTAAAATATCCTTATTTGCAGATGACACGATTATTTATATAGAAAATCCTGGCCTGGCACAGTGGCTCACTCCTGTAATCCCACCACTTTAGGAGGCTGAGTTGGGCAGATTGCTCAAGCTCAGGAGTTGCAGACCATCCTGGGCAACATGGCTAAACCCCGTCTCTACCAGAAAGTACAAAAATTAGCCAGGCATGGTGGCTCATGCTTGTAGTCCCAGCTACTCAAAAGGCTGAGGTGGGAGAGTTGCTTGAGCCCAAGAGGTCAAGGCTGCAGTGAGACGTGATCACATCACTGCACTCCAGCCTGGGTGACAAAGCGAGACCCTGTCTCAGAAAAAAAAAAAAAAAAGAAAGAAAGAAAGAAAGAAATAATCCTAAAGTATCTACAAGAAAGTTATTATGTCAAAGAAATTAATATAGTGGGGTCACAAAATACAGGTGGGTCAGTATACAAAAATTCAGTGTATCAGTAATTGTATTTCTATACTATAAGCAGTAAACAATAGGCAAATGACATTTTTAAAAATTCCTTTTCTAAGTACACCAAGAAGCCTAAAAACCTTAGAAATAAACTTTATAAAAGAGGCACAACAGCTCTATACAGAAAACTACAAAAACATTGCTGAAAGAAAATCAAAATAAATGGGGATTTTTCATCAGTTGGAATACTCAATATTATTAAAATGTTTGTTCTTCCAAAATTCTACGGACATAACACAGTCCCTGTCAGAAACCCAACAGGCATTTTTGTAGCAGTTGATCAGTTGCTTCTAAAATTTATGCAGACATGCAAAGAACTCATAAAACAGTCAAAAAATCTTTACAAATAACAAAATTGGGAGACTCACACTACCAGATTTCAACAGTAAAGGGGAAAATAAAAACAGGTTAGTGGGCTTTATCTAATCAGCTGAAAGCCTTAATAGAACAAAGATTGACCTCCTCTGAGCAAAAAGGAATTTTGACCGCAGGTTGCCTTTGGACTCAAGATGTATTTCTTCCCTGGATCTCCAGACTGCCAGTCTACCCTCCAGATTTTAAACTTAACAAGCCTCTACGAGCATATGAGCCAGTTCCTTAAAATAAATCTCGAGCTCTCTCTCTCTCTTTCTCTCTCTGTCTGCCCCCTGTACCACTTTTCCCCATACACACATACACACACACACACACCCTATTGGTTCTTTTTCCCTGGAGAACCCTTACATCTTAACTAAGTAATCAAATTTAGCATCAAAAAGTATGAGACAAACTAACATTACACAGCATAAACTATGAGGGATTCTTGCCAAAAGTATTAAACCTTATCCAATCAAGTATTTGTTTTATTTTATTTTTACTTTCTGAGGCCTGGCAGAACCAATCAAGTCTGACTTCTGGTTTTCTAAAAATACAGGAGTTAGAGAAAGAAATTGGACTACACTCAGACAAATTCAGAATGTGAGAACTTTCTTTGTGCTTATTTTTTTTTTAATATTTAAAAAAAGAGACAGGGTCTTGCCATTTTGCGCATGCTGGTCTCCATCTCCTGGCCTCATGCTATCCTTCTGCCTCTGCCTCCCAAAGTGCTGGGATTACAGGTGTTAGCCACCACACCCAGCCAGAATGTGAGAACTTTCTAGAAAACAATTGGCCTGGCACCTTTTTAAAAAAGTATTATATGTCAAGAGACTACAGAAACATAACTATATGTAATGAGTATCCATTATAAAATTCTCAGTTTGAAAAAAATTCTATGAAAGACATTTGGGAGACAAATAAAGCAAATAACCCAATTTAAAAATGGGTAAAGGATCTGAATAGATATTTTTCCAAAGATGATATACAAATGATCAACAAGCACATGAAAAGATGTTCAACAGCATTAGCTATCAGAGAAATGCAAATAAAAACCACAAAGAAATGCCACTTTACACCCACTAGGATGACTATAATCAAAAATATAATAACAAGTGTTGCTGAGGATATGGAGAAATTGGAACCAACATACACTGCTTGTGGGAATGTAAAGTAGTACAGCTGCTTTGGAATACAGTTTGGCAGTTCCTCAAAAATTAAACATAGAGTTACCATATGGCCCAGCAGTTCATCTCTTAGGTATGTACCAAGAGAAATGAAAGCACATGTCGATATAAAACTTGCACATGAATGTTCGTAGCAGCGTTATTCATAATAGCCGGAAGGTGGAAACAGCTCAATGCCATCAACCAATGAATAGATAAACCAAATGTTACCACATTCATACAATGGAATATTATTCAGCCATAAAAGTAATGAAGTACTGACACATACTACAGTGCAGACGAACTTTGAAAGCATTATGCTAAGTGAAGGAAGCCAGACACAAAAGAGCAGATAGTATATGATTCAGTTTATATGAAATGTCTAGAACAGGTAGTTCTGTAGAGACAGAAAGCAGATTGCTGGTCACCAGGAGCTGAGGGATGTGTATAGATTTTCTTTGTGGGGTGACCAAAATGTTCTGAAATTAGATAGTGGTAATGGTTATACAACTTTGTGAATATACTAAAAACTACTGAATTATACATTTTAAAGAGGTAAATTTTTATGGTATGTGAATTACATCTCAATAAAGCTGCTAAAAATAAAATAGTAGTCAAAAAGGCCCCAGTTTTCTAACTGGAGTCTCCTTGTGTGGCAATAACTCTTACCCAAGACTTCTGTTGGTCGCATGAAAGGGGAGCATTCAAACTTGTTCATATACTTCCACTGGCTTTTGAGACCTTATAAGGCAGATGCCTTCCCTAGTACATACAAGAATCCAGGAACTAAGAATGCACTCAATGTAGACCCTTATAAGCTGATATCTATTTTCCACTGGAAAGAAGTGGTTCCCCTGCATCTGAGACTTCCCAGAACTGAAAGCATCAAAGGAGCAGCTATCTGAACCTTTCCAGTAGCAGCTGCTATGCACTAGTCGGAGGAGTGTATGCCACCACAGATCAAATCCCATGTTAACAAACTTATGCCAGTGGAAATTTCAGTATAACCAAATATTTTGAAAATCTCAATCATTTAAAGTAATAATATGTAATAAAATGCTAGTGTAGTAAGAGAAATGGGATAGTCTCTTGGAATTGATTGTAATGGGATATGACATCTGTCATTGTCAATAGGCTGAATTTTAGTCATCTTAGAGACAGAAAATGTAAAGGATAATAGTTTGCAGTGTAGTTAGAGATGAGAAACAATAAAATGATGGTAAGTACTAGATGAATAATTTTAAAAATGCTATAGTAATTCAAAATTTGCTACTAGTGTCCATTTATAGAGCACCTACTTTGAGCATGAAAAGTTCCCGGGTACTGTAGACGGAATGACATAAAGGTCGCCTCTGCCTAAAGTCCATTATTTAAAAGTTTGGTCAGTTTTTCTAAAACTGCTTTCCATTTTTAACAAGCTTATATTCGTAAAAGCCAAAAGTACTGTTTTCTTTTGTTCTGTAATAGATGCTGTGAGAGAAGTAAGGAAATATTCCTCAGTTCATACCATTGAGAAGAGCTCCACCAGCAGACCTGATGCCTATGAACACACACAGATGAAACTTTTTAGGTCTCAAAGAAATCTTTACATTTCTGGATTTTCCCTATTTTTTTGGCTGTAAGTAAAAAATAATAATAGAAGCACAATTTAAAAACATGACTTATGCTTTCCTTTCTCATTTTGTCCACCTTTACTGTAGATTTTTTTTTTTTTTAAGAGAGACAACCTTTCGCTCTGTTGCCCAGGCTGCAGTGCAGTGGTGCCTTCATAGCTCACTGTAACTTCAAACTCCTGGGTTCAAGTGATCCTGCCTCTTCAACCTCTCATTTCTAGGACTACAGGCGGCACACCACCATGTAGGGCTAATTTTTAAATTTTTTGTAGAGATGGGGTCTCACTGTGTTGCCCAGACTGGTCTCAAACTCCTGGCCTCAAGTGATCCTCCCACCTCAGCCTCCCAAAGTACGGAGATTACAGTCACTGTACCCAGCCTACTGTAGTTTTGTTTGTTTGTTTGTTTGTTTGTTTTTTAAGATGGAGTCTCGCTTTGTCGCCCAGACTGGAGTGCAGTGGCGCGATCTCGGCTCACTGCAAGCTCCACCTCCTGGGTTCACACCATTCTCCTGCCTCAGCCTCCTGAGTAGCTGGGAGTACAGGCGCCTGCCACTGTGCCCTGCTAATTTTTTTGTATTTTCAGTAGAGACAGGGTTTCACTGGGTTAGCCAGGATGGTCTCGATCTCCTGACCTCATGATCCTCCCGCCTCGGCCTCCCAAAGTGCTGGGATTACAGATGTGAGCCAACGCGCCCGGCCTGTAGATTTTTTTATAACATCTTTGTAAAAGAATTCAGATGATATACCCAAATAACAAACAGTAGTTAACAGCTTGTAGGTTTGCCCAGTCCATAAGGCCCTGAATGATTAGGCTCCTGCCTCTCTTTGGAGCCTTGTCTCATACGTGTCTCTGAGATGTACAATACATTCCACCCTTACAGACCTTCACCATTTATTCATTCATTCCATCTTGCAACAGATATTGATTGAGTTCTGTGGTGTACCTAACTCTTTCCCATTTTAGGGTCTTTACACAAGCTCTTCCTTTTGCCAGAACACTCTTTTCTTTCCTCATTTCCTGGCTAACTCTTACTCATCCATTAGCCTCTTTCTCAAAGCCTTCTGTGGCCATCACTACCCACAAAGTAGGTAGGTCTTCTCTTACAGGTGCTCAAAGAATGTATATATACTTCATTTTCTAGTGTCATTCATGGTTGTAATTAAATACTGTTTTAACTTTTGCTTCCACAACTAGGAGCTAAACCCCTGAGGGCATGGACTTTGCTGTTTTCCGCTGTGTCTGCAGTGCCTGGCAGAGTGTCTTAACACTTAGCAGTTCCTGAGTAAAGGAATGTCTGCTGAATGAATAATTGAAGATAGTCATCACTATTTCTTCTAACAATGGCAGTTACACATAAACGGATGTGAATGAGCTGTTCTTCGGCTTGTTTGACCTTACACAATGTTCCTTAAATAGCAGAATTTGAACTGGGCCAAAAAAAATAATTCTCCTACTGGCCCTGTCACACTGTCTGAAATTTTCCTGTTTCTATTCCTCCAAGCTAAAGCCTTCTACAGGAAAACAAATAAGTACCACTGAACCTGTATTCTAAATGCTGGTCTTCTAACAAAGATTCCAAAGGAATGAGACACGGGCCTGTTTTTACTAAGAGACTTGAATTAAAAAAAGAATAATGGGTTCTGCCTAAACATTATCTGCCACCACCACACCTATATCTAATGGGGAGTAATTTGGCAATGACTGTTTTAAAATAAGTTTCTGGTGATTGGCCAGTAATACATTATTCTGGTTTTTTTTCTTAGAGTTTTGAGACGTCTGGTTACGCTTATTACTCAACTGGCAAAAGAACTGTCAAACAAAGGTGTACTTAAAACTCAAGCAGAAAATACTAACAAGGCTGCCAAAAAATTTATGGAAGAAAACGAAAAACTAAAAAGGGTATTTAATTTTCTTTGTAAAAATTAAATGTTGTTGGTGTTCCCGAGGAGTAATGTATTTGTTTTCAGCATCAAAAAGAGCATTTTTATATTTTATAAGCAGAAAATGACCATAATTAACAATATTTTATGTAATGATTATTTCAAGAATAGTTTTACTGTTCTTTAGAAATGCTTGTTCACACTAATATTTTTACTATTATTTAGATTTGCTTTTTCTCCATAGTGGATTTATACCATTGGACCTATTTTCTGTGATTTAAGGAGAAAATAGTATTCTGGGAATATGAATTTTAATTCCTTCATTACCGTTAAGTTTACTTTATAATCTAAAGCAAGTCTTTATAACTGTTTCTATTTCTTTTTCAGTTAAAGTATTTTTAAGCCTAGATTTTCGTTTTCTTTTAAATGATTGGTTTATAGAAAGCAGAGAAACGTCATTGATGCTAGATTGATAATTGCACATAATATTTGAAATCTTTAATGTTATTCCTTTATTTTCTATCTTTTGATCTCATTTCACAGTGGCAAAAATAAAAACACAGTCATTAAAGCTTTGATTGATAGTGTTAACTAAACTCAAAAGCACGCAGCCTTGTATTTATAGAACAACTGATCATGTACATATCTTAATTTAAAATTATACACATCATTTTGGAGTAATGATTTGTAACCATCAGAACACTGCTTTTTTTCCTCTTCAATTGTTTTTCTCTTATTCTTTAGCTCTAAGAAAATGGAAAGTGTTATTTTTTTCATACATACCATACTTAATACACTTAAATTAGTCTTGCCCTTTTAAAAAAAGCACCTTCCTCAAAATACTTTTGCAACTTTTCTCTTGGAATTGTTTTCAGAACCATTTACCCATGCAAGGAAACTTATGTCATGATTACCAATTCCTTGACCCTGCGTGATTTATTCTTTCTGTTTGTTTGTTTTCCTCTCCTTTGTTTCCATACTGTCCTGATTTGCTGCTTCCTGCATAGCTGTGACCCAATCAGAGGAGGCACAGATATGCTGGGCTAAAGCCAGTACACAGTGGGGAGAAAGTCTTTGAGCAGCACATAAAAGCAGCTGTCAGTGCCCAGAGTATAACTAATTGACCAATAAAGTGACCAACAAAGGCCATAAGTGAGAATATAAAAGATGACGTCTGTTTCAAGGTACTTCATGTAGGTTTTGAAAAATAAGCTAAGGAAAGATAAGCTTGTGAAAACACCCCCTTTGTTTTGTCCTTCCTTCCTTTCTTTCCTTTCCTCTCCTTCCCTCCCTTCCTCCCCAGACTGATCTCAAACTTTTGGCCTCAAGCAGTCTTCCCACCTTGGCCTCCAGAAGTGCTGGGATTATAGGCAAGAGTTACCGCGCCCAGCCATACCTCTTCATTCTCTATCAGAGACACATTATCCAGTGGAAACTGCATTACCCTGAGATCCGAGAGACTTAGGTGCTAGTTCCAACATGTGACCTAGCACAAATCACCTATGTTAATGGGCCTCAAAGTTCCTTAGCTATAAATAATAGTTAACATTGTGCCAGGTATTGCTTCATATGCTTCACAACAAGGTTTTTAACTGTTAATTTTCACAAAAGTCCCTTGAGTTTGGTATTGTTATTATCTGCATTTTATAGATGAGGAAATGGAGGCATAGAAAGGTTAAGTGACTTGTACAAGATCATTCAACTAATATGTGACAGAACTAAAATTTGAACCTAAGCAGCCTGACTCTAGAATCCACATTCATAACCACATTATTTTGTGCCCTCAACTCCTATGTTATCTGATAGAACAATTTCCACGTGGTACCTATGACCACTTTCTGTTCTGATATTCAGTTAAAGAAATGAAATAATTATGAAAGACCAATTAACTTTTAATTTTACTTCTTCAGTGTGATAGAGCTTTACTTTGTCCTGATTTTTTTTTCCAGCCACGTAACTTAACCAAGGTGGGATAATTTGGATTAGACAGTGAACGCTTGCATTGTTGTAGCTGGTAATCATTAAATTTCAGATTTCAGTGTTCTTGGTCTTTCTCCAGCGTCAAGTTACACATCATAAATTTAGGCAAGTTTACAGGTGCAGTAGTGAAAGCTTATTTACAAGACTAACACAAATCCACCTTTTCCAAGTCAATGGCATGAAAATTCAAGCAGTCAGCGAAAACGTTCCTGCAACTCAATGATTCTCTTCTAATTTGGGTAATCACTGGAGATTTTATGAACTGAATTCAGTGAAGTAATAGCTGGAGTTGTTTTCAACTTGAAGTAGGCAACACATTAAAAGAGATTTGGAGAAATTTTTTTCTTGTGCTGCTCTTTACAAAAAAGAAAAACTTTTAATTTGAGAAGATATGAGGCTCCTTTAGTTTCAGAATGTATTTCAATCCTCCCTTCTCCAAAAAACAGTCCTTGGGATTATATAATATATGCATTAGAGCTTTAATTCCTTCTCTGAGCTGCCTAATCTCTATATAGCACAGTAGTACTGTATTTGGTCTTGTGCTACAGTTTTTATGCTCGTTTCGTCCTTTCTACTAGATTGAAGTTATTCAAAAGTAGAGACCATGTTTCTCTTATATTTTTATCTCTTACAGCACCTTACATTGTAAAAATATTTGCATGTAGTCATTGCTCAGTAGAACTTTGTATTTTGATGAATATATTGGCTTACATTAGAAAATGAATCACCCTGCAGTGAAATTCCTCTTATGTTAGTCTGTTTAAAATTCTCCTGTGTTCCTTTTTTACCTGACTATAGAACCTGTCAGTATCAAGTTGCTGCCACTGGCCAGGTGCAGTGGCTGATGCCTGTCATCTTAGCACTTTGGGAGGCTGAGGTGAGAAGATTGCTTGAGGCCAGGAATTTAAGACCAGCCTGGGCAATACAGTATACACACACACACACACACACACACACACACACACACACGCACGCACATATATGTGCACACGTGTATATATAAATTTATATATCTATAAATTTATATATATTTATAGATCTACAAATTTATATATATAAATTTATATTAAAAATTTGTATATATATAAAATATATTTATAAATATATAAATATATTAAAAATTTATATGTATATAAATATATATTTATAAATATATAAATATATTAAAAATTTATATGTATATAAATATATATTTATAAATATATAAATATATTAAAATTTATATGTATATAAATACATATTTATAAATATATATATACATAATTATATATATTTATATATAAATATATATAATTTTTATATATATATTTATATATAATTTTTATATATAAATTATATATAAATTTTATATATATATATATAAATATATATATGCACACATATATATATATATAATTTTTTGTAAAATTAGCCTGCCATGGTGGCACACGCCTATAGTCTCAGCTACTCAAGAGGCTGAGATGGGAGGATCACTTAAGCCCAGGAGGTCAGGGCTGAAGAGACTATGGGTTGCACCACTGTACTCCAGCCTGGGTGACAGAGTGAGACCCTGTTTCTTAAAAAAAAAAAAAGAAAAAAAAGTAGCTGCCTGCCTCTTTATTTAATCTATTGACCCACAACAGTATACATATTATGTTTTTCAAACATTTACTTTGTCTTTCTAGGTAATTTAAATGCTTTATCATTTCTTTAAGTCAGCTTCTTAGTTCTGATGATAATTATAGTTTCTGTACACAATACAGATGATTAAATTTTTACTCCATGATAATTTTATTTTGATCAGTTGTTTTACTATATGGATCTTAATTTTTCTTACCTAGAAAAGATAAGCTACAAACACTAACATTTTTAAAGCCAGAATCAATTTTAAAATATAAAGAGCATTATAAAGGATTAATGGAATAACAGTAATTTGGAAACTATTCAATGAAAATTAGAACTTTCCAGCTGTAGAAATGGTCCTGTCATTTCCCACTTACCCATCTCCACTCTGACATATTCTTCTCTTACAAATTTGTCTGTATAAAAATAGGCTGAGTAGATAGCTCTACAATCAGAACATAATGGTTTTCTAATTAATATCATCCTCAGAACTGTTTTTTTCCCTTAGATTTACATTTCTCATTAATTGAGGAAGAAAGACTGACGTTATTTACCTAAATACTTTTGAGAATATTATTTTAATCACAGCAACTAGAAATTCTTATGTTCATTTTACAGATTTTGCCATAATAGGAAATCTTTTTTGTGTGTTTCCCAAATATTAAGTTTCTGTTAGCAAAAGTACATTGTAGAAAACTATAAAATTCTGAAAAGGACAAAGAATAAATTATAAACAGGTAAGTTTAGATAGGTTACTCAGCTTATTTTCTGTAAGAATGTCTGGCTATTGCAATCTAAGCTTATTTCTTCCTGTATCTCCTTTTGCAATAGATTTTGAAAAGCCATGGTAAAGATGAAGAATGTGTTTTGGAAGCAGAAAATAAAAAACTAGTAGAAGACCAGGAGAAACTGAAAACTGAATTAAGGAAGACTTCAGATGGTAACTTTGTGTACATGTGAAAAAGTAAAAAGACTAGCATGATATTTTATGCTGTACACTTCACTGTTTTTCCTAAAACAAAACTAATGCCTAAATGTTCTTCTAAGATACCGAGAATGACCTATTTATAAATTCTTGTTCAAATATGAAGATAAAACATTATGTCAGCCAAGAGAAACATGCTCTGTTATACAGAAAAACATGTAGGTGTTTCAGATCTGTGTTGTAAATACAGATGTTCTTGCCTTAGCAAAAGAGCTGTGTTCCTAAAAAGTTGTTTATAAATGTGTTTTTATAAAAAGAATCACATTTTTCCATCATCGTATATTCCTCCTCTCAGAGAAGCAATTGTAGGGGAACAGTTTTCTTACAAGAAAATATATTGTTTATTTCAAGCACTAATATATTCTACCTGTTAGACATAAGGAAAGCGTTCCTTGAAAGAGGTGGGTAGGCACAGAGTAGGCAACAATATCTGGGATGTCAGCTAAGAATTTGAGTGCCTCCTTCCCACATAACATTGCAGTGTAGGCTTGAAGTGGAGCATCCCAACTCCATTTTCCTGAAGGCAGCAATTTCTTCTACATTAAAAAAAAAAGTTTTGCTAGTGTTTTTTTCTTAGTCAAAGAACAAATTATTTTTGTTGCATCTGCACAGCACAGAAAAGTAGATAACCCAAATTCAGTGTCATCCAAGAAAACTCAGTGTAAGTTTGTGGCTTGATGATTTGCAACATTTCTGCATACAACAGATAGTTTTTTATGTTGGCCAGACACTGAGAAACCTCACTTTCAGTTGGTGTTAAGGTACGTTGTTTGGATAGGGTTTACTTCAATCAGGGTGTATTTGAATTTGAGATGAAAAACATAAAAATAAAAGCTAATTCTGTGAATAGAACAGAAATCCACTGGAGAATATTTATGTGATACAAAATTCTTTAGTCACGTTCCTCCTTATTATTTCAAGTGAAAAAAAGAAGACAGTTCAGAAGCAATAAGTTAAAAAATAAATTACCCTTATAGACAAAGTGGTATATTATGTAGTTGGCATAGTATAGCCCAAAATTCAAGAATCTTCTAGTTGGTACTGTTGCCTTTTCTGTAATTCCAAAAGATTTCGAACATGATCAAGAAATGTTATTGTTTATATGAAAATGAATTTAATAGTTACCTACCGTTTACAACAGACATTTCAGAAGAGAAACTAGTGTTCTTTTTTAACCCTGCATAAAATATTGCTACCAATTCTTTTGAAGAATGAAACCATCTATTTCCAAAACACAAAAATATTCTTTCAAAATCCTGCTTTCTTTTTTCTGTATCCACCAAGAATCTCTTTTCTTATGTTGTAAGCAGGGTGGCACAAAAATAAAAGATAGACAAGAGTGTATGTGTGCTACACTTCTCTTAACCCTGCACAATTGAGTTTCTCCTTTCACCTTTCAAAAATTCCAGCTCTGAGATATTTTGAGTTTTAACTCTTTAAATCTGGCATAAAACTTAACTTAGTATTACATGAGCATTTCTTTAAAAGACAAAATCAGATTTTAGAAAAAATGAACTCTTTGACAATGTAAGCATTGTGTTTACAATCTGATAACAACTGATACCAGCTTCTGTGTTTGAAGTATAGACTGCAGAGCTACTTTCAAAGTGAATTAGTGTTCAGGTAAAGGCAGATTTTACCTGTTCGAGTGTGTCCTGTTTGGTTCCAGCAAGACATATAATATTTTATGAACATGTTTTATTTACCCTAAGTTTTTTTAAAAAATAACATTTGTAATGACCTTGAGAAGATCAGAGTTCCGTTTCTAAAGAAGGTGTTTCCTTGGTCATGTTCTGTTGACCTAAACCAGTTAAATTCAGTAAGGTAAGAACTAAGAAAATATATCAATTAATAGTGCATGATTTGGATGAATTCAGTGGTACAATGCTTTGTGCACAGTACCACTCAAAAATGTTCATTGATTTCTAAATATTGAGGGTGTTAAGGTGACAAGGCTTAAGAAAGATTTAGAAAGAGATCTTACATTTGAAAATTGAGTTAAAAAAAAGCAATTTTTTTTTTTAGAGGAAAATAGGGTGTTTTCCATATGAATTTTCTTATCCTTTGTGTTACTTAAATCTAAGTGAAACATTTTCTCCCAAGTGTATTATTGGAAACAAAACGTAAATACAAATGTTTATTTAAGCTAGTTAGCCCCAAATTTAAAAAGTGGCATTCTGAAGGCAGCTACTGAGAACACTCTATCAGTAGTGGCAAACACCTTCAGTTTTTAACCTCCAACTCCTATTTTGACCAAAGTTTGTAAACTATTACCGGTGCTTCCGTGCAGTAATATCACCCTAGCACAGACATTGCATTTAGTGGAAAAACCTTCTGATGTCCAAAGAGATTGATTTTAAAGGTCTCTTCCAGGAAAACTACTTATTTTCATAAATGAATACCTTCTTTTATTCTTTTTTTTTTTTTTTTTTTTTTTTGAGATGAAGTCTCACTCTGTCGCCCAGGCTGGAGTGCAGTGGTGGGATCTGGCTCACTGCAAGCTCTGCCTCCCGGGTTCACGCCATTCTCCAGCCTCAGCCTCCCAAGTAGCTGGGACTACAGGCGCCTGCCGCCACGCCTGGCTAATTTTTTTGTATTTTTAGTAGAGATGGGGTTTCCCCATGTTAGCCAGGATGGTCTCAATCTCCTGACCTTGTGATCTGCCCGCGTCGGCCTCCCAAAGTGCTGGGATTACAGGTGTGAGCTACTGCGCCCGGTCTCCTTTATTCTTATAACTAGAAATATGTAGCATTCAGTCATTGTATGCATCCAAGCAATGATAAAAGTAAATATCGTTTAAAAAGTGATTGAGCTGCATGTGGAAATGTCTGTTCTTCATTCTTTTAGGAGCAGGAATACATATAGATATAAAAAACATCCCATATTTTAAAAGGAATTCTTAGGGCTTGCCAATCTTGTAGTAAAGGTTGAATTAGCAGTATATGTCTTCTACATAAAGGAAAAGAGAAAACAGTAATTGGGGGAAATTTCTTGACCATGCCTTTCTTCTGTTTGTTCCTGCTTTCCTTTGTTCCTTCTTTGTTTCATCAGCAATTTTTTTTTTTTTTTTTTTTTGAGACAGAGTCTCACTGTCACCCAGGTGGGAGTGCAGTGGTGCAGTCTTGGCTTACTGCAACCTCGAACTCCTGGACTCAGGAGATCCTCCCGCCTCAGCCTCCTGAGTAGCTGGGACTACATGTGTGCACCACCATGCCCGCCTAATTTTTTTGATTTTTTGTAAAGACAGGGTCTCGCTTTGCTACTTAGTCTGGTCTTGAACTTCTGGCTTCAAGCCCTTCCTCCTCAGCCTCCAAAAACGCTGGGATTACAGGCATGAACTGCTGTGCCTGGGCCTCAGCAATTTTTAAAAGAACTTTTCAAGTAATTCAGTCGTTGTAAAGTCATTTAATGTGGAGCATAATTAACACTTTCCTTAAAAAGTGTGCCTCTTGAGGATAAAGCAAACTTTAAATAAATTTCTTAAAGCATATACTAACAATCAGAAACTGAGTGTAAAGACCTATTATGGGTACCTAAGTATTAGCAGCACGCAATAGAGATACTAGATTTGGACCAGGAAACAGAACCCTTAGTCCCCTACTTAAAATAATGATAATTCAACTCTCTTCCTGGATAAATGCTTTCATATCACCTTGACTTACGTTGAACAAAACTAAAATTACCTTTTGCAGACCAACTTTGATACCCTTGAAGATGTTAAGTTTTTTTTACTTTTTATTGCCAGTTAACATAGGGACCAGATAGTGAAAAATAGCTGAAGTGTTTTTCCAGAGAAATTGGAGATCAAGACAAGATAGAAAATTACAGGGGAATTGCTGATCTGTATACCCAAAACCCTAAATTCCTGCCTCTTCAGTGTTAAGAATAAGACATAAGCTTTGTATACAAGTTTAAAACCATATGATTTCCAGTTTCTTACAAATGAACCATATATTCATCTAAAAATAAATTCTAAGTTTACCCTAAGCATGTTTTACAGTTGTAAATTTTTGTGGACGTGAACTTAGTTATCTTTTACTTACAGTTATATCAAAGCCCCCAGCTTATTTTAAAATTATTAATGCTTAAAAACAGTTTGCTGTTTTTAGTCATTTTGTTGTTGTTGTTGTTGTTGTTTTTTTTTTTTTGCTTTGTTGCCTTTTAATGCACTTTTGTGATTTAAATAAGAAAAAAACATATTATTTGTTTTCATGTCTGGAAGTTTCTGTTTCTTTGACACCTTTGTCCCTTCTTGTATCAACTGAAAAAAAAAACTGCATTAAGAAAGAATAATATAGTTTATTTGATGGTTGTGCCAGTAGGCAATATATAATTAATAGTATTTTAATTATTTAAAGTAAATAAAACTCATGACCAATCCTTTTAGTTAGGTAAATAAAGGATTTATTAGTATTTATTAGTTCATCTCTGTGTTATCTTCACATATTGATGTTATTGTCAAAACAGAAAAAAGGGTTTGCTTGCTATCAGAGTACTTTTCTTGGACTAATATATAATGATGATATTGCATCCTGTTTGGTTCCCTGTTACATTCCCATTTAGTTGTGATGTTTCCCTTTCTTGTGAGCTTCTTATCTGTTATCAAGGCCTATACTCATAAACTATGTGTCTTTCAGTAACCAGGAGGAATAGCTATAGGGAAGATATTAAGACAGAAATTCAAAGATACCTTATATATTATTCACAGTACTAGCAAACATAACGATATCTACCCTGAGGAGAAGCTTTTATAATCTCCACAGAGGGACATTAAAGCAAGAGAAAACAGTTTGTTCTCAGAAGAGCTTGTAGTCCAGATGGTAAACCAAACATATGTCCATAAAGGGATTCATTTCCTCCCCAGTGTGAAACATGGGCTAGTCTACCAAAAACATGAGTGGAGAGTGCTAAATGCATACTGAATCAAGGAATGTTCCAGGTGTTAAAGATGTAATCAAGCACAATTCTCTAAATGTGTTGATGGACATAGAATGGCAGAAAAATGAGTGAAATGATACTACTGTTCTGAGTGAGAAGAGCAAAGCAAAAAGCAGAGTGGTCTGTTTGAAGTCGATGTGTCACACTAGGTGCAGTGAATGATTGTGCTGTATGGTTGAGGGGTCCATTGATGTAGCCCCTAAAAGATCGAAGGAGATAATTACTTTGAATGCCTTGGTGTTCTTTTCTACTGTCTTATTCCATACCTAGATATGCATGTTTACTACAATCCTTCATGGTAAATACTTTTCTAATGATATCAGCTTATGGCAGGTTCATGTTTATGGCCAAGTGAGTTACAAAAATTAAACTGTACAACTCTAGTTTTAAAACACTTTCAATTAGGAAAAAACACTAAACTATTAATAGTGGTTTTCCTTAGCATGTACAACAAATGACTTTTTCCTAGAGTTTAAATTATTTTCTACAATGAATTTCTTTTGCTTAATGAAAAAGATAGCTTTTTATTGTAAAAAGAATTTAAAAATAAAAATAAAAAACCTCTTCCAAATACCCAGGTAATCTAGGGCGGTAGTTTTTTGGCTTGAATTATCTAATTAATTGGCTGTATTCCAACTTTACTTTGTTGGTAGACCCTAAATATTAGAAGCTGTTCATATAGCTTTTGCTAAGTTATATGAATTACATTGCAAAATCTGAGGATACACTGGGTAATCTTGGTGAAGTCATTGACTCTTTTTAGGCATAGTTTTCTCTTTTGTAAAATGAGAGACTGAACTAGTTAAACTTTAATGTCTATTATATAGCTCCAAATAATGTAATTAAGCAAAACTGACTATCAAGAATTATTTTCATTGTTGGCTTTTTGACCCTTCAAATTATATTTATTTTTCATGAGAAAAATCTTTTCACAGTAACTTCCCTTTCTCCAAACTTAATAAGCTCAGCAGGTGATTAAGCCACATTCTTCACTTTTGAAGAATGTTTCATGCAATCTTAGGATCTTTAGGACAGGATCTGGCAGGTTTTATGCATCTGTTAGCTCACAACACAAGTGTGCTATGTAAAATGGGAACACAAGTGTGCTATGTGAAATGGGGCCACAAGTCTTAAATGTAGGGCATTGGGAGAAGAGAGGATATGCCAGTAAACAGAACCAATTCTCATTAGTGTTAGAGCGTGGCTGTTTGTTTAGAACATTTATTAGAACTATTGATATGGAATAATAAAACTTTGCAGAAGAAATGATTTAAGAAATTAGCATGTTCTTTTCATTATAATTATGTTAGGGAAATAAAAAATGGGACTAGATCTCTAGAGGTCTTCCCAGCTCTGAGAGCCTTTGTTATAAAAGGGAGTATTTATCTGGAGCACCTTTTACTTTTTTTTATTTTATCAAAGTTTTACATATACATATTTTTAAAGCAAAATAGTAACACAAGGCTTATAATGAAAAAGAGCAGTCTCCTGAGGCCCTGTCCCCAGAAGCAACTACATTCAACTCCTTTAGAAATGTCCTCTGAGGCCGGGCGCAGTGGCTCACGCCTGTAATCCCAGCACTTTGGGAGGCCGGGGCAGGTGGATCATTTGAGCTCAGGAGTTTGAGGCCAGCCTGGCCAAATATGGTGAAACACTGTCTCTACTAAAAATATAAAAATTAACCGGATGGTAGTGGCACGTGCCTGTAATCCCCACTACCCGGGAGGCTGAGGCAGAAGAATCGCTTGAGCCTGGGAGGCACAGGTTGCAGTGATCCAAGATTGTGCCACTGCACTCCAGTCTGGGCAACAGAGTAAGATCCTGTCTCAAAAATAATGTTCTCTGATATGTGCCTCCAGGTTTCTAAATGCAGTGTTTAGGTAGTTTTTTCTTGATCTTTCAGTATGGGATATTATCTTTGACTTTGTTATAGGGAAGACGAGGACTTAGACCTCTTTATCTCACCCAGTTTCCCTCCTGGCTCCTCATACTTCCCATCCCCCTCCATCCTTTCAATTTAAATATATCATAACTTTTACTATATCATATTATTACAACTATATATTCATCATCATTATGAGGATTTCCTTTGCCTCTTTCCTGTATTGATACCCTCTTTCCTGAATTCCATGTTTTCTTTCTTTTTCTTTTTTTTTTTTTTTTTCCGAGACAGATTCTCCCTTTGTAGTGCAGGCTGGAGTGCAGTGGCGCAATCTTGGCTCACTGCAACCTCCGCCCCCCAGGTCCCGGTTCCAGCAATTCTGCTTCAGCCTCCCGAGCAGCTGGGATTACAGGCACACACCACCATGCCCAGCTAATTTTTGTATTTTTAGTAGAGATGGGGTTTCACCATGTTGGCCAGGCTGGTCTTGAACTCCTGACCTGGTGGTCCGCCTGCCTCGGCCTCCCAAAGTGCTGGAATTGCAGATGTGAGCCACTGTGCCCGGCCTGGATTCCATGTTTTCTACTTTTGTATAGGTTTTGAAAGTCACAGAGGTGCCAGCTTTCATCACATTGTATCAAGAGTACATATTATTAACATAACTTATCAGTTTTGATGTTGACCTTGATCACCTGGCTAAAATAGTGCTTGTCTAGTTTCTGAACTGTAAAGTTCCTCTTTTCCCTCCTTTTTCCATACCGTAATCTTTGTGAATCACTGTTCACAGCCCACACTTCAGAAATGGGGATCAGTGTGCAAATGAGTGGATTAAAAAAAAAAAAATAAGAAAGGGAAGTTACGCTCAACCTCCTTGAAAGCAGAGTATCTGTGTAAATTGTTTGGAATTCTACACAGATTTGTCTGTTGTCTACCATTTGTTTGTCAGTATGGACTCATAGGTATTTATTTTATAATTTGGGTTATAATTTAATACTACTTTAGTTTATTGTTCAGGTTGTCCAGCTTTCACCATTGGGAGCTCTTTCATTTGGCTCCTGTGTCCCTTTGACACATTTCCATTTTGGATATTTGTTTGTTTGTTTGTTTGTTTGTTTGTTTCATTTTTGGAGCACTTCCTTACTTTCTGGCATTACAAGATACTCCAGGCTTATCTTGAACATTTCCTGCCCCATTCTTAGAATCAATGTTTAGGGATTTTTTTTAATTGGGCTGGATTCTTTGGTACTATTTATTTATATTTTATTTTTGATTCTGGAGTAGTATGAGATATTTGTAACATGAGTATATTTTCATCAAAATATTTCAAGAATGGTCTCTTTGCTTTGTTTTGGCTATCCTGAGTATTTTGGTTTTTGATTGACGGTGTTTTTATCAAGATTACTATCAGGTGACTAAAGTAACACTTTGTATTGTTCACCTGACATTTATCATTTCCAAGTGAACTGTTTACACACAAGTGAATTTTTCAAATGCTTAAAGCTTACACTTTTCATTTATTCATTCTTTCATTCCTTCAAGGAGCATATTTTAAGCACTTACCAATACTAGGCAATATGCTAGGTACTCAGACAGATAAGACACAGCTCTGTTTCTTGAGTAGTCCATAGTCTAGTAAGGGCATAGTTGCCCTTCAATTCAATACGTGGTGTGGTGAAACTTGAGTTGTAGTAGAAGCCAACACTGGAGATCGACACTTTCTTGACATTTTAAAGGATGACATTAATTAGCCAGATGAAGTAGGAGGAGATGGACAAGGTGTTATAACAAAAATGAGCAGCATGTAACCAAAGGAGTATGGCACTTTTGAGGTACTACAAGGAGCTCAAGGCAACTGGAGTGTAAAAGAAGATGGAACCAGTGGAGAGAGTTGAGCAGTAGGCCTAGAAGCCATCCTGAAGGGCCTCATATGCCCTGTTTGTACGTTAACATTTTCAGGGCACTCTTAGAGGGTTTTTAGGCACAAGAGCAATCACTTTGACAGCATTATAGACAATGGATTCAAGTAGACGGGCAACTACGTGAGAAATCCACTTAATAATCTAATCTGGAAATGAGGACAGTGGTCACAGAGCTGGAGTGGAAGGTATGGATTGGAGAGCTATAAAGGAACTTAACAGCTATCAACAAACTTTATCAACAGATGGGTGTGAGGTTAAAAGAGATTAGGTGTTGATTGAAGTGATGAATAAAACGTAAATCTTTACCTACACAGACCTCACAATATAGGCATGTACAAAAGAAGGATAATATAATTAAACCACAGTTTATGTCCTTACTGAACAGAAGTTTGTATGTCTACTTTCCAAGTATCTTGGAAGCATTACTGTAGATTAACAATCCAATAAGTGATCATTGGCAAAGGAGTAGTACATGTGAGGATTAAATACTGAATAGCTCCAGTGTATCACACTCTTGAATTCTCAGAAAGAGAACCAAATAAATTGGAAAGAAACCAACACTAGACATATGGAAATTTTTCAAATAAAATATGTTTTCCTCTGGCTCAGTCCTTACAGCTGTTGTACAACAGCCCAACTTTAGCTGTCATGCCAGTGCCTCTAAAAACTTCCATTTCCTGGCAGAGCTTTACTGGCAGTGTTTCTATCTCTGGTCGAAATCACAGTGATACAATACATTTACACGGTACATTAGTCTCACCAGCTCCTCCCACTTTTGCAAATAGTTCCGTAAGTGAACGTTTGACACTTGGAAAGACAACAAATGTTTTTGCTTACTATGTGTCACTGTAACATTAGTTGAAGTCATTTTCTATATTAATAAATGATGCAAGTGCCTTTAAAAATATCTAATGGACCATAACCTAGGACATAACAGTCTCTTATTGAATCTAGCCAGTATTCTTAGCAAATATCTCAGTATTTCCATAAAGCCACTGGCAAGTGATAGCAGCCCGTTTTTGCAGTTAAGAAAATTGCAGTAGCAACTTAGATGTATCATCTAAAGCCTCCTTGTCCAATAATATTTTTCTTATATATGCTGTTTCCAAAATAATATGCCTCAAAATAAAATAAGCATATTCACATGTCAGATAACAAGTTTATATAGTCCCTTGGTTACAGATGCAGTTGCAAAAGGAGGTGGAAGGCATCCAAAACACAATAATTTTTATAAAATGAGATAAAGGACTGGGAAACAGTCCAAGATGTGTCTAGACAATAATAGCCTCCCCTAATTGGAGTGATAGTATTCATTAGATTTATTAATATCCACTGAAATACAAAATGAAATAAGAAACACATTTTATACCTTGGCTTAGTAAGTGGCAGAAAAACAGTATTTGTCTGCATTTGTTCCGTTAATAACTTTATACCAGTAGTAACCAGAAGAAACTCCTAGATAGGCTGTACAAGTGGTTTTCTAGCTTCTTTTAAAAAGGAACTACTGGGTTGATATCTAAGATATATTAAATTTATTAAATAACTTCTTAATGTCAGAAATTCAAGTATAAATTGTTTTTGACATTAAGACCAACTCCTGTTCATTACAAGCACCTGACCAACTGTCTTAATAGAAAGTACTCTAGACTCAGTAGCTTATAAACAACAGAAATTTATTTCTCACGGTTCTGGTGGCTAAGAAGTCTGAGATCAAGGCCCCAATAAATTAGGCCTCTGATGAGGGCCTGTTTCGTGATTCGTAGATGGTACCATCTTGCTATGTTCTCACATAATGGAAAGGGAAAGGCAGCTCTCTGGGGCCTCTTTTTATTAGTGCACGAATCCCATTAATGAGGACCCCACCCTTATGACCTAATCACTCCCCAGCCACGCCTCCCAATACGATCACATTGGTAATTAGGTTTCAACATATGAATTTTGTGGAGAGACAAGCATTCGGACCATAACAACAACATTCTTAAAACTACCATTGTAGGCCAGGGGCAGTGGCTCACAACTGTAATCCCAGCACTTTGGGAGCCTGAGGTGAGAGAATTGCTTGAGCCCAGGAGTTCAAGACCTGCCTGGGCAACATAGTGAGACCTCATCTCTACAAAAAATTTAAAAATTGGCTGGGGTGGTAGAGCAAGATGTTGTCTCAAAAAAAAATAAACACCATTGCAGGCTAGTCAGCCACTATTAGATTGTGGAATCTACTGTGTATTTTATGTACCAGAAATCCAGGGTCTTAAACTTTTTTGCTGAGCTCTGAAGATACCACCACCATGCATCATATTTTCAAGTAGCCTCTAGGAAATGCCTTGTAGAACCCAAATTGAAAACTAACGTATAACTCTTTATGTTGTGAAGGTGGTCCTAATGAAATCTAACCATCCCCAAAAGTGTCTTCCATACCTGACTCATACCTTTAGCAAGTGACATCACATTAAATTTGTCAAAATCAGTCTTTAATACCTTATTTAGAATTATGCAGCTATAGAAGGAACATGGAGGAAATTATAGAGCTGTGCTGCCCAATATGGCTAGCCACTAGCTCACATGTGGCTGTTTAAATTTAATTGAACTTAAATTGAAAATATAGGTCCTCACTTAAACTAGCCACATTTAAAGTTCACAATAGCCACATCTAAGTAGTGACTACCGTATTGACAACGCAGATGTAGAACTATGTAGAACATTTGACAATACTGTCTAGAAAGTACTGATACAAAAAGCACTTTAGTTGATAATGGCTTATATATTTATATAAAAATGCCTATATGATGACTTCTCAAGAGAAAAGATTGTTTATAACTGGAACCTATAATTTTATTTCATTGTGCCAGAAAAGTAGCTTTTAAATTTATAAATTCTACTTTTTTCCCTTAAACTCCTACCCTAAAATACTTCCAAATGTAGAACTTCTGAAGGCTACATATGATATAGAGCTACTTCAGGATTCCCAGAGTTTGGAAAAATGATTTCTGAAAGCACTATATGAGATAAAAGTTTCAAGTATGACAACTCTAATTTTTCTACCCCATTTTGTACAGCTCTTCTACATATTTTGCTCATTAGCACCTTCTTCACAATGTATTGTTTTATATATATATATATATATATATATATATATATATATATATATATATATTTATTTTACTTCTATCTAAGGCCCTGAATCTGCTGACATATGACTTGTAGCTCCTTGGTAGGTAAAGGTCAATATATAGTAATTCTTGTGTGCCATTATCTTGAGGAGCAGGATGTTTGCATAGACTAAATTGTCTTCCTATATATTGCTGCTTTAGTTACAAAGGTTAAAATTGTAAGTATAAAATGGAAAAACCAGTGAGGGACAGAGGAACTTTGGATGTAATGGGCCTCTGGATGCCCTGAGAAGCATTTAATATCACTTATATTCATATGTAAGTGGATGCATGACCTGAATTTATTCATGAGGAAACATCAGACAAAAACAAAGTGAAAGAACATTCTATCTAAAAAGTGGCCTGTATTCTTTAAAATGTCAGTATCATGAAAGATGGGGAGAAGAGGGCTGTGATAATGGTAGGGAATTATTCCAGATTAAAAGAAATTAAAGAGATATGATAACTAAATGCAATATGTGATCTTGCACTGTATCCTGGACTAGCAGTGGAGAAAATGCTTAAAGGACATGATTAAGACAGTTCCAAAAACTGGCATATGGATGATAAATTAGATTTAAAGTATTGTATTCATATTAAGTTTCCTAAATTTGGTGACTATACTATGGTTATGTTAGATAATATTTTGTTTCTGGGAAATACATTCACAGAAATGTATTGAAGAGTAGAGGGGCACGATGCCTGCACCTTATTCTCAAATGAGTCAAGAAAATAATAGTGTGTGTGAAGAGAGAGAATATGATAACAAATGTAGCACAATGTTAACAGTGGATTTGAGTAAAGACTATACAGGAGTTCTCTATTTAAGCCTTGTAACTTTTCTATAAATTTGAAATTATTCTGAAATAAAAATAAAACTATTCGATATTTTCTAGCCCTTTCTAAGGCACAAAATGATGTGATGGAAATGAAGATGCAGTCAGAGAGACTTTCGAAAGAATATGATCAACTCCTGAAAGAACACTCTGAACTTCAGGTGGGTGTGACATGCACTTTATGCACCTAAATGTTTTGAAATAGTAATTACCTAAGTAAATTATTTGGGTTATTTGTCCTTAACTAATCAAGATGATGTACTTAATCCTGGCTTTGTTAAACGATTTAAAGAAGCCAGATTTTTACCTAGAGGGTAAAGATTAGGACATTGCAGGAAAATACAAGATAATTTTAAGGAATTGCTGACTTGCATACTTACAGCATTCCAGTTTTGGTGAATTTTTAAGCAAAAGAAGCCACAAAAATGGCAGCATTGGAAAACAGACTGGTTCTAGAAAAGGTGAGTTTTGCTCTTTGGGATGTTTGCCATATTCATGCCAAAATGAGGCCAAAATTTCAAGTTCCACATCACACTACTCTTGTCTCAGTGTTTTAGACATATTAGGACAAGACTTTAGCATTCAAATTTATCATTTACCTCCAAATGTTGATTTGAAAGATGGAAATGGGAAAAAAATGTTTCATTGTTAAAGCCACAAAGTCAGATCTGGGCCATAGGTTTTCTTTCTCTTTCTCTCTAATTCAATAAAAGAAATGGTCATCCCTGTTAGGCTTGTCTTTCCTCCCTCCCTTCTGCTGCCAGCCAGTAACCTGAATTGATTTCTCAGACACACTCTGATCAATTGGGGAAGAGACCATTCCAGAGACAGCCCTGGCCTTCCCTCCCAGTTTCTCCCAAGACAGACTGGTTGGGCTTGTCTTCAAAATTTGGCAGCCTTTGTGGCTTTCAGTCAGGGCTTTTTACAAATAATAGCTTTTTATTTCACTGTACACATTTCCCTGCATCTTAATGGTCATGGTATCTCCAAGACTCAGCACTGTTCCTGGCACAAGGCAAGCATACACTATACTCATAGACTTTGTAGTCAGACCTACTTGGAATACCTACCTATACCTGGCTGCATGCTAGGTTTTTTATCTTAGGCAGGTTATAGCATCCCTTTGGGGCTCACTTCTTTCATCTATAAAAATTGAAACAATAATGATGCCTGGCTCACTGGATTGTTAAGAGAACTAAATAAAATGTGTAGGTTTTTTAGCACTATGCCTAGCTGACAGTAAACACTCAAGAAATGATAGGTATTATCATCATCATCTGTATTACTTCCTCTGTAGGAATTTTGCTGAAAGAATGACTTATTCTCAACCAACCACTTTGGCCTTGGTTTAGAGCCAGTAATTAAGTAACCCAAAGCACATATTTGTAATCTGATATTCCCAGTTGGTTTGCATGTTTGGTTTAACTAGCCTACTTTGACAATAGCAAAAGACAAGGTAGCCAGAGAAGGGTGAATACCCTGTATGCTCCAATCCCAGGACACTGAGGGCTCAGTTCACATGGCCTGGAGCAGATAGGTAGATTGTCAGCAAGACCACCCCTTCCCCGTCTCAAAAATAGAGACCCTAAAATTGCTGACCTCATTGGGGCATGATAATTATTCGTGGTATCTTTCAAGGTCCACCTTGGAAAGTGAAGAAGTCACTTCAGAGACCTCTTGCCTAGAAATACAACATTTTCCCCCTATTTGTGAGATTAGGGTTTACTCAGCCAGGTTGAGTATCGACATTAGTGGACTTTGCCATGATGTCAGACATGCTTAGATCTTTGAATGGAGAAAGGAAAACCAGAAGTATGCCTTCAGTTTCTTATGGCCAGTGTCCATTGTTGAATGTCTCCATTGTTGAATGTCTCCATTGTTGAATGTCTCCATTGTGGTAACAGCCATTGGTTCTCTTAATTCTGAAGAATATATATAACAGTGAGATTTCCTCAACCCATTTCCTCCCCACAGAAAAGCCACAGTCAGCCTGGAGCTGCTGCATTCTTGGTAAAGGAAGTAGAAAGCTTTTAAGAGTGATTCCTGGCTGAGCGTGGTGGCTCACACCTTTCTTTAATCCCAGCACTTTGGAAGGCTGAGGCGGGCGGATCATGGGAGATCAAGACCATCCTGGCTAACAAGGTGAAACCCTGTCTCTACTAAAAATACAAAAAATTAGCCGGGCATGGTGGCAAGTGCCTGTAATCCCAGCTACTCGGGAGGCTGAGGCAGGAGAATCACTTGAACCTGGGAGGCAGAGGTTGCAGTGAGCCGAGATCGCGCTTTTGCACTCCAGCCTGGGTGACAGAGCGAGACTCCATCTCAGAAAAAAAAAAAGTGATTCCTTCCCAAGAAAATAGTTGTTATAATAGTTGTCATACCTGTTTCTGTGGAAAAGACCCCATCCCAGATTATGCCAGACACCATGCCGAGAGTAGGGCCTTGTTTGATAGCACTTCAGGACTTGATCTAATTTCTGCTTGTATCCAGTTTTTGAAATATTTAATAGATGTCATTTGTTGAGAGTATGCTCTGGACTAAGCACTTGGCTAAGGGCTTCGTATATGTTGTTTTGTTTACTCTCCATGACAGCTCAATAATTGAAAGTATTTTAATATCCCTATTTTGTGAATGAGGAAACTGAGACCCAGAGATGTTATATAATTTATCGAAAGTAACTAGAAAGTGATAGCATTCAAAGTCAGAGAATCTTTCTCCAGAACCTCCATCATTAACCACTATGTTCTTTGGCCTTTGCTGATCATTGGATTGTGTTCTTGGATCCATTCTCCTCTCACCACTGCTTTACTCTGTATCTCTGGGAGGCCCGTTTCCAAGGCTCCCTTGCTGTCTGACTCAGTCTGGGCAGGTTTAGCCAGTGGCAGGCACTAGAAGACTGAAGGCAGGAGGAAGGGGAAAGCCAGGGATTTCTTCTACTCTTTCTGCTATAGAGGCCTTCTCCTTTATGACTCCAGTTCCTTCCCTCTAGGTCCCACTGGGCAGCTTCTACATACTGGCCTTCGCACCTGGGCTCCATAACCCTCATCCCTCCAGCCCAAGAAGTGGTGGTGGCTTTTCTGCTATTGATAATCCCAGAGGTGCCTTACCACCCTGTTTGGTGTGTGTACTTTTTCATCACCTGTAAAACCAATTTCCCATAATATCTCTGTTGGAAGGAAAACAAAATCTCAGCTCCATAGTTTACCACTTCTGTAACCCACAGGTGACTCATTTGACATCTATGCTCCTCAGGTACTTTACTACTTAAATAAAGGTTGTAATACCTTATGAAAATTAAACCAGATCCTGTATAAGAAAGCACTTTATATATTTATAATCAAGAATGCTATTTATTATGTCCTGACTGGTTACATTTTTTTCCTTCACCTACCCATCCCCCACCGTTGTCCAATATGAGACCCTGTATAAGATTCTCAGATTTAGATATCATTAAGAGCCCCATTTTGTTTGTTTGTTTGTTTTTTGAGACAGTGTCTCACTCTGTCACCAAGACTGGAGTTCAGTGGCACAATCTCAGCTCGCTGCAACCTCCACCTCCCCAATTTAATCGATTCTTGTGCCTCAGCCTTCTGAGTGACTGGGACTACAAGCACATGCCACCATGCGCAGCTAAGTTGGGTATTTTTAGTAGAGACAGGGTTTCACCATGTTGGCCAGGCTGGTCTCGAACTCCTGACCTCAAGCGATCCGCCCACCTGGGCCTTCCAAAGTGCTGGGATTATAGGCTCGAGCCACCGTGCCCAGCCAAGAACCCTTTTCTTTAACTCTTGTGCTTTAATGTTCGTCTGAGCCCTGCTTGAGAAGCAAAAGATAGTTACAGATCCTCTATGGTAAAAAGCTCTATCAAATTGTCCTCATGAATTTACTTCTGTTGTCAAACTAATCTTAGATATTGAATTATATGCTAAGGTTCTTTGGAACTAGCTTCCTGAATTTTACACAGTTGACATATTTTCATTGGAACAATCATAAAACGAAAGATCATTAAAATATTAAGGAAACAAAGGTTAAAGAGGGAAACGCTGATTTCTTTACTGTAAATAGATCCCAATTTGCATCTTTTAAATCCTTTTGGATTTCCCCATCTGGTCCCCTCCCTGTTATAGGCACTAAATAAATATTAGAAAACAGTCCCTTCAAAACATGTAGTCCTTTCCTTATTTGCCCTGCCTCTCTTCTAAAAAAAAAGAAAAACAGAACTAACTAGAGATTATTGGCTGCACAAACCCATCAGCACCTGCCAGTTTTTAAATTTCATTTTGGAAAATCAGCCATCACTTAAGGGACTTGTCCATAATAGCTTCATTAAAGCTTTGTTTTTTATCAAAAGGGGGCCACATATGTAAACTTGTGGAAGTAATTTACCTCCTCTACTCTTGTCTTTTTATTTGATTGCAAAAGTTAATGTTATTAAAGTTGCTATGGAAGCATTAATGTTCAGCCTGAACAAGAGCTTGACGAACTTCTTTATACAAGCAATAACACTCTGCAACCCCATTTTATGAGATATTTTTCATGATGTAGACATTTACTTTCTTAGCACAAGTGATCTCTTAAGATTAATTTCTTTTCCATTTTCCTTCAGTTTTAAATGATGTAATATAGTAATCTTTATAACATGATCAGCCAAGTATAATTTGAGAAGTCAGTTCTGTTGGCAAATATCTGAAGGACAAAACCAAAGCCACCCTAGCTGAGGTTTTTGTCCCTTCCTTCTTTCATTTACCAAAAACCTTAATTGGGTTAACAGTAGGGGAATTTTAGAAATCATGTTTTCCTAATGTAACCTGTGAAACAAAAGCAAAATAGATTAAGGCAAGGGGAAAAATGAACTTACCAAGAGTGTTCTTTTTCCTAAGTAAAAACCACAAATTTTATAGTTTTTTAAATTTTAGACTTTCTCAATCCTTTTTTTCACATTTAATTATTCTCATAAGTATACATAGAAGAGAGAATGTTTTTTAAAAGTCCTTGTCATGTCTATGAATCTGTTTCTCTTTGCTGTACTACATAAATCATATTTTTTTCCTTACAGGATCGTTTAGAAAGAGGCAACAAGAAAAGACTGTGAACTTTATAAAAGACACTTGCAATATACTGTGTCAAAATGATAATTTTGTTATGTTAGCCTCTAGAAAATTTAAGTTCAGAAAAATGCACTATGACCGGTTCGTAATTTTTTTAATGCCACACATAGGTTGTATTGTAATGGCATTATCAAAATATTTGATGATGTTTCAGATATATTGCAAAGTCTGTATTCCAGCTCTTAAGAAAAATATAAGCATGTTAAATACCATATTTACATATTGATAATGTCATTGGTATATGGTGGCTGTTTACCAATAAAAGGAAAAAATTCATTAACCGGTTGCTTCCAAAATTAGAAGTTTTAAGTTGCATGAAACCATTAATAGCCTTGAAAGCTTTGATAAGTTTTCAGTAATAATAACCTATTTAATCAGATGATGATGTGTTTGAAAATAGTGTTCAATATCAGCAAATTTGTACACAGGGAATGTAAATAAGGATAACTGATCAGAGTTATCCACTGTATTTATAAGGAAGAGTCGGAAAAAACAATGACCTTAGTTTTTTTTAAGCCTGATGATACTATGGTTTACTCTAATAAGATAGCTATATTGATAATTATATTTTTGTTACTGTGCCCTTGCACATTTTGGTCTTTTTGTTAATATTTTTATTAATAACACATAATTAGTAACCACTCTACTGTTTCAAGTTAATCTAGTAATAGAGCTTACATATATTTGTATAACTGCTATACCACTGAACTGAATTTATTTTACAACAGTGTAGAATTCTTGAAAAGTTAACGTAGAAAATATCCAAAAAGCAGTATTTCTAGAAAGTGTCCAAAAAGCAGTATTTCTTTCCCTTGGTTGTGAGAGTAACTAATTATATAAATATTACCTCAAAAATACATACACTGGTATCACACAGTCTTTCTACAATGTTTCTGTATTCTGAAAGCTAAATATTAAGTACTATTTTTCCATTCAAATATTCATTTAGAATTTCCTTTAGAAGATGGCAGTGATTATAATATTAATATGATTTCATTTGTTCCAGTGTTTAGACATGAAATCATCTTCCTTGTCTCATGAAAACCTAAATATAAAAAAAAGGAAAATACTGGAGTTTTTATTTCTCTTGTCTTTGTTACATCCTCTGTTTATTATAATTTTAGCACCAACTTCACACCTAGCTAATTTTTTTCATCATAAAGTGGATGAAATGAGCAAGTACCTAAAAATTTTATTTCAGATAAAAGTCAGGAGTTACTGCTAAAAAACAGACATGTAGGAGACATTCAACAGGAGTATGAAATGAGAGTTAGACCATATGGGCTGACAACACCATAAATAACAAGAAAAGGGAGTGCTGAAATAGGAGAGAACAGAGCAAATGTTAGCTCAAAGTATAGACTTAGAAATATCAAAGTAAGAGCTATCTGGATAAATATATAGATATTGAGTGCTTGGAATCCTAGCCTACTATGTGAAAATTAAGTCTAATGTCAGAATAACTTACAGAAAAATAGAAAATGCACAGCTTTAAAATGGGCAGAGTTAAAATCTATTCCCAGCTTTATCACTTATTTAGCCATGCTAGCCTAGGCCTCTATTTCCTTGTCTCCAAAATGAGAATAATAAAATTTAGGTCAGGATTACTATATAAACTAAGATAATACAGTGATTCTCAAAGTTGTTCAGACTGTATAGTAAGGAGAAAGTCTGGTTGCACTTTGAAGAGCTTGAAGATTTGAAAGATTCCCAAAAAAGCATTTTAAAGTTTACATTTAAGGGACCTTGGACCTCAACCCTCTCAAGTTTACAAGTCTGAAACTTTAGACATCAAAAGTTTGAGCAGTTTTTCCAAGGCAACATTGATAGTTAGATTCAGGGCCAGGCTGTAAGTCTAGAATTTAGATATCCTGATCCCCCAGATACCGCTCTTCTGGTTATACACAGACCAGCTATAATTTGCTAAACATAAAATATTGCAGTGTATTAGCCGGCTGTGGCTCCAGAGTCTGTGCCCTTTACCACCGTGCCCAACTGTTTCACATGCTGTGTTTGGTAGTTTTTCCTAGTACTCTCCTTAATAATGGTGGTGTTTAGCAAATTGTATTACATAAATAAATATTTATTTCATGGATTGAGTTATGTTGCATATTAAATTACTTTCCTTCCCATTGTCAATAATGACTTCTTTATGTCTTAGGCTGTATTATAAATTCAAACACAGGAATGTTATTCTTGCCTTTTTCCATCAGAATTACCTAAAGTTTTATTAGACTTTCCCCCTACTTGCAAATCTGCCTGGAGGTTCTGGTCTTTAGGAAGTAGCACTTAGCAAGTTCTGGATAAGCACTCCAGAATTTGGGATGAGTTATCCTTGTTGTTTGTCCAGCTCTATCTTGGACCCCAGTGCTGCTAATTAGATTCATGCCTTGTTCTTTAGGGCATAAGTTCCTCTCTTGGCTATTTTTCCTAGTATGCTGAGAACTAGGATTCCCTTTCAGTGACAGAGTCCTGCCCTGGAACCCCAATCAAGAGCCTAAAGTTTAACTACTCTCTGAGATATTAGCCTGATGCCAGCAGCCTGCCTGGATCTCTAAATATTACCCATTCTGGGAGTTGTTAGTGGTCTCTGCTTTCCTGCAGTGTCACTCCTGCTTCCTCATTGGGCCTGCTAGCCACAGCTACTTGGATGTACCCGAACCTGTTGCCTTGCCCTACCTCTGTGGGCTGGTTCAGTTCTGCATTCCCATTCCAGTGTCCACTGCCTTCTCGCTATCCCTCCCATCTGTGCGCCACCACCAGCTTATCCCCAGCCCTGCTAACATGACAAACTATTGTGCATTTGAGTGCCCACTATACAATGTGTGAATATAACCGTGCTTTTAAGCATTGACTTTAATGTCTGGGATGATCCGTCTAGAGTCCATGGAACCCTCCTGTGTTTTTTCATCCCTTTCTTAGTAATCTTGGAAATCCACTTATGAAATTCTTTTTCTAACATTTCTTTGCTGAACGGCATTTTTAAAATTACTTTCACGGTGTTTCTTTCCAGTTTGATCTCTACACAAACACAACTTTATTACTTGCACCAGAAATGATTTCAAACACTTTAGGAACTGTGGTAGGCTTAATTATGACTTCCCAAAAGATATCCCTATACCAATCCCTGGAACCTGGAAATGTTCTCTTCTATAGCAAAAGATATGATTAAGTTAAAGTCTTGAGATGGAGAGATTATTCTGGGTAATCTGGGAGTGCCCTAAATGCAGCTACATCTATGCTTATATAGAAGCAAAGGGAGATATTACCACACAGAAGAGGAGAAAGCACAGTGACCACAGAGGCAGAGATTGGAGTGATGGAGCCGCAGCAAAGGAATGCTGACAGCCACCAGAAGCTGGAGGAGGCAAAGAACAGATTCTTCCCCAGAGCCTCTTCCAGCAGGAGCATGGCCCTACAGATACCGATAAAACTGATATTGGACTTCCTGGCCTCCAGAACTATGGGAATAAATTTATTGTTTCAAGCTATCAAGTTTGTGATTATTTGTTACTGCTGCCATAGTAAATTAATACAGGAGCATGCAGGACAGATCTGTAATGGCCTGAACTGAATTTCAAGGGGTGTGGAAAACAGTTACTCTTTAACACCACTCCGTCTTCCCCATTAGCCATTTGGATAAGTCAAAGATAGCCTTAGCCATCTCCTATCTTAGTTACTTTTCTCCTTCAACTGTATTTTGCCATTGTCGTTGCCATTGCCTCTGCCTAACTGCAAGCCATCATCATCTCTCACATGGACTATGACGACCTCCTCATCTCCCTGTATCTTCTCTAATGCTTCTCTCATATACATGCTCTCAGCAGCCACCTGGTTTAAAACAAAAACAAAAAAAACACTAATCATGTCATTCCCTGCTTGTCTTCCCGTTCTTTCCAACTGTCATTCCCTGCTTGTCTTCCAATTCTTTCCAACTGCAGTTAAGATCAAACCACCAAGACCTCACCAGGCTCCCATCTACTTTTCAGCCTCAACTCAGTCCACCTGCTCTGCCAATCACACCTGTTTCTTTTTGTTGTTCTTTCCCTAGGATATAGATCCTGGCATACCTGCATTCTGATTCTTCTTGGAACAAGCCAAATTCTTTCCCCTGTCAGTACGTTTGCATGTGTAGTACATGTTGCATCCCAGGCCTGTCTGCCTTCTTACCCTATTTTATTTTCATCATAGCACTTACTACCATCTGAAATGATCTCATTTATGGTTTGTCTC